>NT_187623.1:0-118774 GCF_000001405.40 Homo sapiens
TTTGATGCCTTTCTAGGGCAGGCTGGCCGCCTGCATTATTGATGGCTGTTCTGCAAAATTTACATGCTGAGCTATGGGGAGGTGAGCAAAAACCCCAGGGATGGCCCACTGTGGTTTTCTTCCCTCCTCTTGAACTTGAAAATGGCCAAATCACTTTTTAATGAATTCTCTGCACCTGGCAGAAGCAGGAAGGGTAGGGGCCCCAGCCCAGGACAGGAGCATGCATCCAGCAGGGCACACCCAGCTGTGCAGGACTCCCGCTGCCCGCCCAGACACCTCCATCGAGGGTTGACGTGGGGAGCAGAGGCTGCACATGTCAGCTATGGAGAGAGGACGCTGGGACGCTGGTCCAGAGCTGAGTCCTGGGTCATCTGTTTGTCCTATGAGGGCTGGGAGACACTTGCTGGCCTCCAGAGCACTCACCAGCCCCTGACCTCAGGGAAGTCCCAGGCCTTCATCTTCTGCAAAGTGGGAGGGCGCCGTGCCCCTGTGCCACACGGGCCCTTGGAGGACTGCACACAGCGAGGCCTGTTGGGGCACCGGGAGGAGGTGCCAGACACTTCTGAGAACAGGGCCCTGCCCTGTGGTTAACGTGGGGCTCCCCTTGCCCGCCTCACAGGAATGAAATGCACTTGAGGGCAAAGGGAGCAGCCCAATGTAAGCCTTTTAGATAAATGTGTCGAAACCTCCAGCCAAGCCAGCCCAGGCCCGCTACATGCAGATCAGCCACGTCTGCAAGGAGGCCTGTTTGCAGGAGCTCCCATGACCGCCTCATGAGCACATGCCTGGGTCCTGCCCACCCACCCTCTCACCCCAGAGAACATCCCAGAAAAGGGGGAGATGGGCACAGTGATGAGGTCAGGAGCCTGACCCCACCTCCCCAGTGCTCCCAGGGGAGCCAGGCCAACCCTGCCTGGACTTCAGAAGCCCTGCCAACGGGAAGGCCACTGGCTGCTTCCGGGGGTCCCCTGGGAGAGTTCTTCCTTCCTGCGGGTCTAGCTTCCTGCCCCTACCCAGCCAGGAGACACCCCTGCCCTGCCTCTCGAAATCAAGACCCAGCTGCCCTCTAGTGGCAGTCAGCTGCACACACACACACACAACACGCATGCACATCCATGCACATGTGGGTTTACATGCATACAGAGGTGCACACATACACGTGTGTATACACGCACACACAGGCATGCACACTCGTGCACAAGCACGCATACACACATGCACACACACAATACACTGTACATGTCTCTGGGTTTCTACGATGCTTGATTTATTTTCAATATATAGAAAAGAATACATTTCTTTCCTATACATTGAAAGCACCACAGCCAGGGGTGGCTTCCATGAACCGGCTCTGATTGGATGACTGAAGAAATGGAGACTTGGAGAATGATGTCATGCCGCAAGTCTGTGACAGCAGTTTCTCTGCAGGCTGACATTCTTCTCCGCTTGGATCCCTCCCTTTCCTGCCGGCCCGTGTCAGTCTCCTGTTTTCCAGTCTGGTCCTTCTGGCGGTGCCATGCTGCGGGAGGAGGCAGCCACAGCCAAATAAACATGTAGCTGAGAGCAGCCTGGGGACCCTACGCTGCAGGATGGGTGGCCGAGGGGGGCCGGTGCAGGCAGGCAGTGGGGCACCTCCTGAGGGGGACATCACGCCCAGGAAAGAGGCTGCTGAGAGCCCCCTGCAGCTTCAATTTCCAAATCTGTCCTGGGAGGGGGAAGAAAATCGGATTTGTAAAGAACAAGAGAAACTTGGGTGAGAAATGAAGAGTGTCCACAGCGAGGCTGCCTGCTGCCCTGTCAGAAAACCTGATTCCGTTTCCTGGGGGAGCGGGGACTGAAGTGAGATGCAGCCACATCCCTGCAGAGCCGCCGCCACTGCCGGTACACACAGATGGGACATGGATGAAATGAGACTCCGCAGGCAGGATCCCGGCCCCTCACCAAGGTGGCATGGGTATCTGACATTTGGGTTCTCATTGGCAAGCCTGTCCACCGCTGCTGGCACCGTCCCCAGCCCATCTCTGCAGCCTCCTACCTAGAGGCAGAGCCAACCTTCAGGCTCCGTCCAGCCGCTGCAAGGGAGGGCCGGGTGCTCACAGGTGAAGGAGAACACAGCCAGGGTGGGGAAGCTTCCAGAGGTGGGCTGGCTGGTCTCTGCCTTGATGAACAGGAGGGCACATTTTCTTTCTGTTGGGATCCTGAGGCACAGAAACCTTGGGGAAGGGACCTCTGCTATGGGTAGTACCATGAAGTCCAAGGCCTCAGGCCCAGCGAATGTCTGGACACACATTGGTCCACAGTTAGAAGGCAGATCCTGACCCTGAGGTTGCCAAGAGCAGCCAGTCAAGGGTGGCGCCAGCTCTGCTGTTTCCATGATGTCCATCCCACATTCAGGAGACCCAGCGGGCATCGGGCTGATGTCACCATGGACATCATTGGTGCTGCCTGAGTCCCATCCATAACAAAGGCCTGAAGCGCAGACTGACACAGCATCAGGGACCCTGACCGGTCCCCTCGCTCTGCCCTGGTCAGCTGTGTAGAACTGGGGAGGTCATGGGACTGCCTGGCCCTCACTGGACTCAGTCTTCCCCTCCGTAAATGGTAAAGAAATATGAGCTCCACTGACCACGCAGTGTGACACCAGTCACTGAAATAGTGAACAGGAACATGCTTTTTTATTGTTCTCTCCCCATTGTTGGCTTTCTCCCCTCCCTCACGGCCTCTGCATTAGCCCCCAACAATGCCCTGTTCTGCACCATGCACCTCATACCTCCTGCCCCAGCCCTGCTGTGCCTGCAGCTCATGCTATCACTCCCTCCTCCCTCTAGTGAGCCCCCACCTTCCTTCCTCAACCAGCTCCCCTTGCACTTCCGTAGAAGCCTCTCTCACCTCCCTCAGTTTCCTTATCTCATGGATGGATGAGAGGACCTCAGCTTCCTTATTGGTTGGTTGTAATCCACCTGACATAAGGAGAGGTCTCTTTAAAGCATGGATGGATGGATGGATGGATGGATGGATGGATGGATGGATGGATGGGTGAGTGGATGGTGGATGATGGATGATGGATGGGTGGGTGGATGGTGGATGATGGATGAGGGATGGGTGGGTAGATGATGGGTGATAGATGAATGGATGATGCATGGATGGATGGATGGATGGATGGATAGATGATGGATGAGTGAGTGGATGATGGATGGATGATGGATGGATGGATGATGGATGAGTAAGTGGATGGTGGATGATGGATGATGGATGGGTAGATGGATCGATGATGAATGAGTTAGTGGATGGATGGATGATGGGTGGATAGATGATGGATGGATGGATGGATAGGTGGATGATGGATGGGTGGATGGATCAATGATGGATGAGTGAGTGGATAGTTGGATGATGGATGGATAGATGATGGATGGATGGACAGACAGATGGATGATGGATGGATGGATGGATGCATGGATGGATTATGCATGATGGATGGGTGAGTGGATGGTGGATGGTGGATGATGGATGGGTGGATGGATGGTTGGATGATGGATGGATAGATAATGGATGGATGGATAGATGGATGGTGGATGGGTGAGTGAATGGATGGATGGATAGATGATGGATGGGTAGATGGATCGATGATGGATGAGTGAGTGGATGGTTGGATGATGGATGGATGGATGATGGGTGGATGGATAGGTGGCTGATGGATGGGTGGATGGATCAATGATGGATGAGTGAGTGGATAGTTGGATGATGGATGGATAGATGATGGATGCATGGGTGGATGGATGGATGGATGGATGGATGCATGGATGGATTATGCATCATGGATGGGTGAGTGGATGGTGGATGGTAGATGATGGATGGGTGAATGGATGGTTGGATGATGGATGGATAGATGATGGATGGATAGATGGATGTTGGATGGGTGAGTGGATGGATGGATACATGATGGATGCATAGATGGATAATGGATGGGTAAGTAGATGGTGGATGATAGAAGGGTGGATGGATGGATGGATAGATGGATGATGGATGGGTGAGTGAATGGATGTATGGATAGATGGATAATGGATGGGTAAGCAGATGGTGGATGGTAGATGGGTGGATGGATGGATGGATGATGGATGGATAGATGACGGGTGGATGGATGGATGGATAAATGGATGATGGAAGGGTGAGTGGATGGATGGATGATGGATGCATGGGTGGATGATGGATGCTGGACAGGTGGATGGATGGATTATGAATGGATGGATGGGTGGATGATGCATGATGGATGTGCAGATGATGGATGGGTAAATGATGGATGGATGGATGGGTAAGGGGATGGGTAGACGGATGAGGGAGAAAGGAAGAAGGGGAGCAGGTAAGGGTTAACCTACTGTGAGAAAACTATCAAAGTAGGATATAGCACCCAAGTAAGTGTAAGCTATTTCTGGTTTTTTTTGTATCTCCTTGACTCCAAGTTCTATTCATCTTGGTAAATGTCAGCTCTGTTAGACACGACTCATTAACTTGGTTCCCTCAACAGACACCGATTACCTACTGTGTGCCAGGTCTGTATCTGGCACTTTGGACACAAAGCTGGACAAGACTCAGTCCTCATGGCACTCTGGGTCTTCCAGGAGAGTCCAGCCTACAGCAGATGTGGGCAGGGTTGTGGCTGTCCGGGTCACGCTGCACCTCCAGGGTTAATGAGAGAAGCAAAATCAATTCCAGAGACTTTAGGGGAGCTCATTTTGGAAGGAAGAGTGGGGTCTCACCAGCGGAAGGAGGGAGAGGGACAACACACCCGCAAGCACAGAGGGGCAGGGATAGGAGGTGTGGGGTGCACAGTGCAGACAGGGCGCCATGTGGGGCAAATGTTGGGGTAACGAGGGAGGGGAGAAAGCCAACAGTGGGAGAGAAATAATGAAAACCTGGTTTGGGCTGCACGTTCCTGTTCACTGTCTCAGCAACTGGTCACGGCTATGTGGTCAGCAGAACACAGTCGTGTCCCATTTTACAGAGGGGGCTGCCAAATACAGGAGGCCAAGGTTGCTGACGGCTCTGCAGCCTGCAGGCCCCTCCCTGTCCTGCTGAGCCTCACAGCCTCCCCCTGGAACCCTCTCCTGCAGGGGGCCTGAGCCGCCCACTCTCCCCGGCCCTGCAGGAGCTCTGAGTGCTGCAGTCCTCCCCCCTTCTCCAGGTGACTGATCTGCTGCAGGGACCACGCAGGCATGGGCCAAGAAGCAGTTTCCTGCCCTTCCGAGAGGCCCCTGACACCTGCCTCCTTGAGGGAGATCTCTCAGAACAACAGCCAGGGCTGCATGATGAGGCACATGTTGGGGCTGGAGGGCCCAGGAGCCAGCGCCCCACTGCACTGAGCCCTGGCCCCATGTAGGCTGGGCCTGGTCACCAAGCCACAGTCACCCTGTTCTGGGTGGGAGGCCTTGTGGAACACCCCAGACCCTGATTGGCTGCCGTGTTCCCACCTCCCGGGTCCAACCGCACCTCCCAGCCCTGCCCTCAGTTCACCCTGTCACCTTCAGGCAGTGTGACTGCCTCTTCCTGGAAGCCTCCTCTGGATCCCCAGCCCTCCCTCCCTGAGATGCTTGTGGCCTTGCTCTCAGGCCTGTCCAGGTGGCAGTGGCTTACACTGCCTGATATTGGAGCCCAAGGTCAGCAAACGTCTTCTATAAAGTACCAGGTGGTCCATATTTTAGGTTTTGTGGGGCATACAGTCTCTGTGCAGATACTCAGCTCTGCCTTGAGAGTGTGAAAGCAGCCATAGATAATGTGTCAATAAAAGAGCATAGCCATGTGTCAATAAAACTTTATTTACAATAATAGTGATGCGCAGATTCAGCCCACAGGCCATCGCTTGCTGTCATGTATAAGTTGGATCCTGTGATGCACTTAAAGCCCGTTGGTGACTCACAGCTGTCCACAGACTGTCCAGACACCTTATGGAGCACCCAGGCCCCTCTGTCATTCCTCAGAGCTTCTGTTGCCACCACAATCATTGGCAACATTAACTTGCTGTCATGGGGCACCTACTCTGTGTTGGGCCCACGTTTGACCCTGGAGACACAGTGGGTGATGGATGAGACAGCCATGGCCCCCCAGAGCTCAGGTTGGCAAGGGTTACAGACAATGATCAAGGGAGGACACAATAAACGTAAAAGTGCAAGCCAGGAATGAGTCATGGATGAAGAGCAGGCTGAGCTGAGAGCATGCTGGGCTGGAGGGCTGGGAGAGAATTCCATGGGAAAGGGACATCTAGGGGCTGGGGAGCTTGATTCAAGATGAGGCCACAGAGGGGGTTAGCAGCCATGACACATGGAGTGCTGTGGCCATGTTGAGGGTTTGGATGTATGCCAGGGAGCTTTTGCTGCATAATAAAAGATCCCAAAACTTAGCAGCCTAAAACAACCACCATTTATTTCTATTTATTTAGCTCACAATTCCACAAATTGGCAATTTGGGCTAGGCTCAGCTGGAAAACCCTTCCATCCTTGGCTGGGCTCATTCATCCATCTCTCATCAGCTGCCAGTTTGGCTTGGGGCTGGCTGGTCTTAGAGGGAAGGAGGAAGGAATAGAAAGACAGAGGGATGGAAAGGTAGAAAGAGGGAGGGAGGGATGGTGTATGGGTAGGTAAGTGGATGGATAAATGGATGGGTGGGTGAATAGAGGGATAGATGGGTGGATGGGTGAGTAGAGGGATGGTGGATGGGTGGGTGGGAGGGTGGATGGATAGATGGATGGGTGGGTGAATAGAGAGATAGATGGATGGGTGAGTAGAGGGATGCTGGATGGGTGGGTGGATGGATAGATGGATGGGTGGGTGAATAGAGGGATAGATGGACGAGTGGGTGAATAGAGGGATGGTGGTTGGGTGGGTGGGTGGATAAATGAATGGGTGGCTGAATAGAGGGATAGATGGATGGGTGACCACAGGGATGGTGGATGGGTGGGTGGGTGGATGGATAGATGGATGGGTGGGTAAATAGAGGGATAGATGGATGGGTGGGTGAATAGAGTGATGGTGGTTGGGTGGGTGGGTGGATAAATGAATGGGTGGGTGAATAGAGGGATAAATGGATGGATGGGTGAATAGAGGGATGGTGGATGGAGGGGTGAGTGGATAGATAAATGGATGGGTGGGTGAATAGAGGGATAGACGGATTGGCGGATGAGTAGAGGGATGGTGGATGGGTAGGTGGGTGGATGGATAGATGGGTGGGCGAATAGAGAGATGGTGGATGGGTGCATGAATAGAGGGATTGTGGGTGGGTGGGTAGGTGGGTGGATCGATGGGTGTGGGGCAGATAGAGGGATAGTGGATGGGTTGGTGAGTGGTTGGATAGATGGATGGATGGGTGAATAGAGGGATAGTGGATGAGTGGGTGAGTGGATGGATGGATGGATGGGTGAATAGAGGGATGGTGGATGGGTGGGTGAGTGGATGGATGGATGGATGGGTGAATAGAGGGATGGTGGATGGGTGGGTGAGTGGATGGATGGATGGGTGAATAGAGGGATGGTGGATGTGGGGGTGGGTGGCTGGGTGGATGGATGGATGGATGGATGGGTGATGGTTGGAAAGAGAAAAGGTTGGTGACCATCTGCTGTTTGTAATTCCTTACGGAGCCAGTTTATGGAACTTGAGCACGTTTCACTGAATCACACCGCTAGGAGCTGGTCTTTTCCCTTAACCTCTTAGAGAAGCACGACTCAGGATTGTTAGTCACTTGGAGAGCATTTCACAGGTTCCCTTTTCGCTTTGGTCCCCAGAATCCCCCTCCCCTAATGGTACTGGTGAGAGGCGGGCTGTGGTCCCAGCAGGGAGCTGCCCACAAGCCTGTCCTCAGCTGTCACCTCAGAAGTTCATGGCCTCTGGGTCAGAACAGAGGTGTGGAAAAGCCACCTCTGCCAGCTCAGGGATTTTGGCACTGATGGACTCCCAGCAAGGGCCCTGAGGAGAAAGGCCATCAGACTCCTTCAATGCCTAATAAAATGCATTCATCCTGCCAAGACTTATTTGCCATTTAAAGCTCACACCTGCGCCTGCACGGTAAACTGTCAGGACTGCTTTTCCAGCAGAAAGCATGCTTGCATCTCCGCACCTGCACAGAGAAGGGAAAGGGTTTGTCTTTTCTTCCCATTTGAATATCTGACCTGTAGTTCAGCTGGACAAGCTAAACACTCAAGAAACGAAGTCCCTCCTGACCCGCGTCTGTGGGGCATCCCTCCCTTTGCAAACTGTCCCTGCTTGGTTTTCTAGACCGAATGCAACCCCAGTGCCCTCTGGGCTCCCCTGTTCTCCTCCCTTCTATCTTGGCACCAAACGTGATCTGCCCCTATCAACGGCAGGGCCACTGAGATGAAAACACAGGCAAACCTCTTCATGCCGCACCTTAACGCATGGCAAGGGGAGGAGAAACTTACTCCGACAGGCAGTGTCAACCAGGAGGCTTGGAAAGGGCCCTGCGCCCAGCACACAGCCCCCAGTGAAAGAGAACCGGTTCCAGGAACTCCGTTCCTGTAAACGGATTTCTTTTGATAAGTGCCCTGTCAATTAAAACCCAAACTGATTTTCTGTTCTTTCTCAACTGGTGTCTCCCTTCCAGAAAGTTCAGCAGTACACAGTCATCGTTCAGGCCACAGATATGGAAGGAAATCTCAACTATGGCCTCTCAAACACAGCCACAGCCATCATCACGGTGACAGATGTGAATGACAACCCGCCAGAATTTACCGCCAGCACGGTGAGTCCCTCGAAGCTGCCCAGTGACGCATGGCCCGTGCAGGGCAGGAATGCACTGGCGTGCGGCACAGCCTCCTCTCTCTCTGCGGCTCTGCCTGACGGGCACTTGGCAGATAGCGTGTAAGAAAGGCCCTGGGCAGCGGAGGCTGCTGTGTGGAGTGGCTCGATTCCTGATGTGCGCAGTAGGAGAGAGGCCGGGGCTCAGTCAGGGAGGGGACCGGCGGCGGAGGTCGGTTGCCACCTGGGAGGCATCTCTGTGATGTCTGGAGGAGTTGACTGGTACTGCCTGGGCTGATGTCACTGCCACTTTGGAAGGCCTGCGTGTGGGACCCGCTTGGGGAATGCCCAGATGGGGCCTTGGCATGGCGGGTCCATCCCTGTGTGTGGAACTTGGCTGACCCTCTGTGGCCTGCTGTCGGCAGAAAGGGGGTTGTGACTGGGCCCCATACCGGCTGCCTGGGGCCTGAGTGACCATTCACTGAATGTTGTTGAAAGTCCAGTGTGAGCCCCGAGCCCCTAGTTCACAGGGGACCAAACTCTCTCTGGTGGGAACACGGTGGAGACAGGGCTGTAAGGCATGCAGCCCCCACTTCCTCTGGATTCCAGCAGGGCAGCTGCACCACCAGGAGGGACCCTTCCCTTGAAATCTGCAGAGGCCACTGCGCCGACAGACATTTGATGACCCCACTTCCCTGCTGCCCAGCGATCTGGGGAGGTCCCGGCCTTGGCTGTCGCCCTGCTTACCAACCAGGACCCTTTGTGGTGATTCCCTGGGTCCATGGGGTGTGACACGGTGTCCCCAGGCTGTCATTTTGGGCCCCGTGTGGCAGTGCTGACATCATGGGCACGTGGCCCAGCCCCGGGAGCCCCTCTAGAAAGGTCGAAGGCACCAGGCTGGGACGTGCAGAGGGGAGAGTCAGCGAGGGCTCCCAGAGTGGCCGTGGCCCTGAGATGCCAGGATCTCAGGGTCTTCTCTGCTCCTACCACCATATCACCCCCTTCTCCCCCAGGCCTAGGCCCCCGCAGAGCTGTGTGTCAGTCATGATAGCAATGACAGTGGCACACCAGCTGCATCTGTGGAGGTGCCCCTCGGGCACCAGGGTGAGGCCAGGGTGCGGCCAGGGTACAGCCAGGGTGCAGAGCTAGCCTCTGATCCCAGCCAACCCCGACCAACCCAGTGACAGATGAGGACTCTGGGCTCCGGGAGGCTAAGAGGGAGAGGGGAAGGGATGGGGTCAGGAGGGAGACGCTCCTCCCGGTGGGTGGGCCGGCTTGCTGAGAAGGCAACTAAGGCCAGAGCCCCTCGCCACAGCGGCCGTCCCGCATCTGGGCCTCCTGCGTCCTGCATCCCAGGCCTGGGGCGCAGCTGCACCAGGCGGAGGTGGCTGTGAGCACACAACGCCATCTGGTGGGAAGATGGCAGATCACAGCGAAGGAAGCCAGCTCAGCCCCACTGCAGCAGGGCAGGGGGGCTCTAGGTGCTCCCCCAGGCTCCTGGCAGTGAGTCCAGGCAGCAAGCGGCCAGGGCAACCAGGAGCCCGAGGAGCATTTAACCGGGCGCAGCCCCAGGATGCAACAGCTCTCATACAATTGGCCAGGAAGGCGTTCAGATGGTTTGGAAAACACCTGCTTCTCTCTCTTGGCTTCAGTCTCTATTTGCTCTCTTCCGGCCAGTGAGCAATGGTCAGGAAAAGCTCAGGGCCAGGCTGCCGGGGAGTCTGGACATAGGGGAAGCAGCTGCTAACCCCAGGGCCCTGAAGAATAATAACGTCCAGGCCCAAGAGCGCAGCAGGGCTGCACCCACACAGCTGGCCGGACAGCCCCAGCTGTCCTTCCTCCCTGACTCCGAGAAAGAAAAGGAAGTGATGGCAGGGAGGGAGGGGAGAAGGTGACCCAAATTGTGTGGAGCAGGTGTCTCTGCCTTTCTCGGAGCCAGCATCCCTGTGAAGGAAGATGGAGAACCGGCAGGATGTCCCTGACCTGCACATGCTCTGAAAAACGGCCAGCCCAGGGAGTCACACTGAGCCCCCCACAGAATTCTGCATTTGACTCAAGGCAACTTAAAGCACATTGCAGGGGAGAATTCCTGCCTCTGTGTCCCCATGAACGAAAGGTGGGGATGGCCTGATTCTCTGAGACGTTGGGGGGCAGAAGATAAACAAGGGGCATTGTGGTCCTAAATCCCAAAATTCAGAGAATCCCATCATTCCATTGCAAGCCCTACCCCTCGTCTCTGGTCCCCATCCCGAGACTCTGGGAGGCAAGCCCTACCCCTCATCTCTGGTCCCCATCCCGAGACTCTGGGAGGCCAAGGCAGAGGCCCTTCTAGACCTAGTGGACCAGCCACAAGCACTGACCAGCATAAGCACTGACCAGCACTGATCAGCCACCAGCGCTGACCAGCCACCACCATTTACCAGCACTGACCAGAAATGACCAGCCACCAGCACTGACCAGCACTAACCAACACTGACCAGCCATGAGGACTGACTAGCCACCAGCACTGACCAGCCACCCCCACTGACCAGCACTAAGCAGCCCTTGGCACTGAGCTACCCTCGCCGCAACTGCTGACCGGCCACACCACCCTGGGGCTCCTCCTCCTGGGACTGGGGCAGAGGGTCCCCATGGCATTTATTAGAGAGAGGCGTCTCTGTGCTTTTCCAATGGCTAAGCACAGGCTACTGCAGCCTCGTGCGCCTCCCAGAGATGGGCCATTGTCCATCCTTGGTTCCAGGGGGCCTCAGGCAGGTCCCAGACCCCAGATCACGGGGCAGGGGAACGGCATCTCTTGAGGAGTACGCAGATATGTCTAGATGCTTCTCAGCCAGTGTCTGCGGCACCTCCCAGTCTAACACAGTCCGGGAGAGGATCTGCAGTCCACTGCTTTGGTCAGGCCGGCGGGGTGACATGCTAGTGGGTGGACAATGGACGGATGACCCTGGCAGGGAGGGTTCCCTCCACCCTGCGGTGGCTTTTCCAGGTGACTGGGTCGCATGGTCCTGGAGAAGGGGTGTCAGTAAATACTCGGGGTTAGGATGGCCCTTGGTGTGTCCTCCTAGAGATGGGTGACAGGCAGGAGCCCCGGGACACTGTCCATGCCTCACCGTGGGACGGAGCAGGCAGAGGGGCCAGCAGGATGGCGAAGGCCGGCCACACTGCCGCACATGCCGCCAGGCTATTTTTACCAAGCCTAATCAAGAACAATCAGCAGAAGCTACAGAGATGCAGGGGATTTGCATGATCCGATTCTGAGTCCTAAATGTTAATTAAAAGTTATTTTCCCTTCACTGGCTCTGAGCGCGGCTGCACTGCCCACGTGAGGCTGAGTGGGGACCCTCGGCCCTCAGCACTCCCTCCAGCAGGTGAGCATGGGGTCTGCTGCGCTAGAAGCTGGTGGCCACAGAGGACACAAGCTTCAGACCCTGCCCCAAAGCCTCCTATTAACACCGATGGGTCCTGCAGTGAAGTTCTCAGGGACAGGTCCAGACAGCACAGAGTGACCCTGGAGATCTGGCATCACAGGCCTTCCTCCAGGCCACCCCCACCCCATCCACACACATGCTCACGGAGGGGGGGTCCCCTGGAGTCAGGAAGCCCAGCCCTGGCCCCACCCTTGGTCCCTGCCTGCTGTGTAGCCAAGGCCGGAGAGCTGGACCTCTCTGAGCCGCAGGATTTTATCCCGGCTTTCCACCTAGAATTAATCCCACCTCAAGGTGTCGTCGGGAGCACTGCTGATCTATGTGAAAGTTTAAGACTTCAGCAATATAAATCTGCTCTAAAAATGCCATGGGTGGTGCCCAGACCCCCATCCCAGGGGCATGGAGCTGGGTGGCGAGCAGACAAGGTTCCAGCTTTAACAGACCTGGAGTCCTGTCCCGTCTCGGTCTTTCATAGGTGAGGGGCTTACAACAATGTCACCAAAACCTTCTCAGCCCAGTTTCCCCAGCTGTTAAAAGAAGAGGGAGGGCCGGGCGCAGTGGCCCAAGCCTGTAATCCCAGCACTTTGGGAGGCCAAGGTGGGTGGATCACGAGGTCCGGAGTTCAAGACCAGCCTGGCCAAGATGTGAAACCCCATCTCTACTAAAAATATATATTTTAAAAAAAAATTAGCCGGGTGTGGTGGTGCGCACCTGTAATCCCAGCTACTCAAGAGGCTGAGGCAGAGAACTGCTTGAACCTGGGAGGTGGAGGGTGCAGTGAATCGAGATTGCACCATTGCACACTAGCCTGTCTCAAAAAAAAAAAAGAAAAGAAGAGGGAGGTGGTATATCATTGTTGTAGTTTAAAATGCATACATGATAAGACATATTTTGTTTTTACTGTATGTCTTTTGTGAATGATCTATTCCCCGTCCCAAGCAAGCATGAATAAAATCAGGTTAATTTTTTTCTTTTTTGAGACAGAGTCTCGCTCTGTCGCCCAGGCTGGAGTGCAGTGGCGTGGTCTCGGCTCACTGCAACCTCCGCCTCCTGGGTTCACGCCATTCTCCTACCTCAGCCTCCCGAGTAGCTGGAACTACAGGCGCCTGCCACCACGCCCGGCTAATTTTTTGTATTCTTAGTAGTGATGGGGTTTCACTGTGTTAGCCAGGATGGTCTTGATCTCCTGACCTCGTGATCCGCCCACCTCGGCCTCCCAAACTGCTGGGATTACAGGTGTGAGCCACCGCACCCAGCCCAGGTTAAATATTTTTTGAATAAAGAGGGAAGGGAGTCGTGGTGGTTTCCCCACAGGGTCTCCGAGGACAGGATGAGTGGGTCCCCAGCGTTTAGGATGTGCCCAGCTCAGCCAGTGCCTGGTTATCACAGTTGATGTGGAAATACAGATTTTTCTCTCAAAGGGGTTAAAAATGGTTTTGCCAGAGGCAGGGTGTCAGCTGAACTTAGGAGCCCTGGGGTCTGTGGGTCTGTGGTCCCCATGTTTTTGAGGTCCTTCTGGAAGTTCCCTCCCCAAGCCGCCCGAGGATGCTGCCTGCGGTCCCTCCTCGGAAGTGACCCTCCTGGCCAGGAAGAAGGGCAGCCCCAGCTCTGCAGGGCAGACAGGCTACTGGCCAGCCTCAGCGGGGGGGACTGGCTGGGCTGACCCAGGGCAGCTCTCGCCCACAGATCCCCAGCCCCTCAAGCCTGGCTGCGTGCCCACTCTGGCCAAGCCCTGTGAGTCCCTGACTTCTGCAGAAGAAGGGAGAAATTACGATTCAGCGTGAGTTCCTGAGCACAGGAATTTGGCATCTTAAAATTAGAACGGACTCAGTGCCCTTAATTACGCTTGGGTGCACAGTGCAAGCCTCGGCCGCACAGTGCAAGCCTCGGCCATAAATCATTAATTGGAGCCAACTTTTCCGAGCACAGAGGTGGCAGCCGCAGGGACCAGGAGCTCCCACCCACCCGACATCACCTCCCGCCTCCTTGCTCCTCCTACCAGGGACGGCTTCCCAGAGACGGCTGCAGAGGGGGCGCTTCTGAGAGGCCAACTCTGGGTCCACCCTGGGGCAGGGACCAACAGGACACAGGCCCAGAGACGTGGGGGAATGGCGGACTGGAAAGGACAAGCCCAAGGCAGAGACACACAGAAACTTGAGGTCCCTCAGCCTGGGGGTCAAGACTTAGTCCTCCCAGCCGCGGTGCTTCCGCCAGTCTCTCAGGCCTCCTTGGACCCGCCTGTCCAAGCTGCATGGGAGAGATGGGGCCCAGGGGTTGGGGGTGGGCGCTGGGCCAGACTCCCCAGCTTCAAGCCTGGCTCCACAACTGACCAGCTGCTGACCTTGGGCAAGTTGCCTCCCTTTCCTCATCTGTTCCTGCCTGATGGGTGTGTGAGGACCGAATATTCCCGGATATCAGTCCCTTGGCAGCGTACCTGACTCAAAGAAAGACCAATGAGTAAAACAGCAACAATATGGCCATCGTGGCTGTTGTATGATTAATAATGCCGATTGATAGCAATTGTGTCCTTCACCCTGGCACAGATGAGCTGCTGACAGGAGCTGCCTGAAGTTGTGCTCCAATCCCGGGTAAGAAGATGGGTCAACCTCTCTGTCCTTTCTGGGAAGGGAGCAAGCCAATCTGGTCTATGGACCCAAAAGCCCAAAAAGGGGTTTCAGGTTAATTTTTAGCTAAATGACTGGTCCTTTCACTCAAGCGGGTATTGCAGTGAGCAGGAGCAGGAGCAGGAGGAGTAGGGGCAGGGGCAGGGGCAGGGGCAGGGGCAGGGCCTGCAACTTCCTTCTGGTCACAAGAGCCACAGATCCGACAATTCTGATTTGTGAACTCAGAACTCAGCAGAAATCGTCACTGTTTTACTGAATAGAACACAGAATTGCAAAAAGCAATAATGTTGTAATGTCCAAAGGAGCTGTGGTTTGTAGGTTTACGCTATCAATTTTCCAATGCAAGCAATCACAGAACAGAGAACTACAGCTGGCTGTGTCCCCAGGTGGCTCCCAGCCCCGTCGGGGGGCGCAGCAGACCACACCCCAGCCAGACAGGAGCCGTCAGGGCCGGCGCTCAGCTGTGCTAGTTACAGTGATGGATCCGCTGAGCTCCGGCTGGGCAAGAGCACCAGGCTTGGGCACTTCCCTCCAATTAGATGCCCTCGTCCACACCGGGCTCCGGCCGGGAGAAGCAGCACCCAACGCCGGGTGGCTGGGAACGTCAAGGCCTCATTAGGACCAGCCGGACGCTTCTGAGTAAGCGGCAGCTCAGTGAAAGCATCAATCCCACGCTGGCCCATGGGGTTGGGGTGACAAGGGCAGCAGCAGAGTCCCATTTCCGCTCATTCAGACCTGCTCCGTGGGAAGAGGCAAAAGGAGGTCCTGAGCCTTCCAGGAGACAAAGCTGGGCCTCAGTGGCACCACTGTCCGTCAGAGGTGGAAGTAAAGTTCGCAGTCGGCCGTGGCTCATCTTTATGAGATATTGACTCACCGCCACTAGTCTAGTTGCCAGGAAACAGGATGTGGGAGGGACAGACAAAAATTAAGTACAGCAGCAAATCACCAAGATGCAGTCCTGCGTGTCACACCTGAGGAGCAGCCTGGAGCCAGGGGCACCTTCTGGCTTCCAGCAACTGATGGAAATTCAAACCATGACGTGTTCAGTCCTTGGAGTTCCAGAATCGTGAAAGGCGGGTCCTCGGCAGGCGTGGAGGCATCGTGGATGGCCGTTTTCAGAGCAGGGCAGGCAGCACAAACGGATGAACGATGCAGAGGCAGAAAAGGTCAAGCCGGGGCCTCTGAAACCAGGACCCCCGGGGCCTCCATTCCAGGAGAAGCAGCCTCACTCTGCCCTTCACCAGCCACGGAGACCCGGGGTCTATGGGCAGTGCCCTAAATGCCAGCCATGCCCTGGGGCACGCGGTCACCACCCCGCAGAACCGCTCCCGTGCTCGTTGCAGGAGTGCAAGGGCAGATCCACAGAGGAGCGTGCGGGGCCCCACCTTCCCAGGGATTTGCAGGCAAATGAGCGGCCGTTGACACAGGGACAGGCACACCTTTTCTTGAATGGTCTGGAGAGTAAATGTTTGCGCTTTGGCTGCCGGAAGGTCTCCGTGGCAACTCCGAAACTCCGCCATTGTAGGACAAAAACAACCACAGACAAAACAGAAGCGAGTGGGTGTGGCCATGTCCCAATAAACTTTATTTACAAAAACAAAAAGATTCAGGCCACAGGCTTGTTGTCGAGCCCTGACTTCACCTATAGCAAAGAGGCTACATAGGTGTCGTTTTGGGAATATTTGAAGGAGGAAGATTCTAGCATTGCAGACGTCTAAGTATGAGGTCAGCGCCTCGTCACCACCTGTCTCAGAGAGCTGATTAAAAATCTCACACCACACACAGCAGAGGTGGCACAGGCCTGTAGCTCCAGCTACATGGGAGGCCGAGGCAGGAGGATCACTTGAGCCCAGGAGTTCGAGGCTGCAGTGAGGTGTGATCATGCCACTAAACTCCAGCCTGGGCAACAGAGCAAGACTGTCTCAAAAAAAAAAAAAAAAAAAAAAAAGACACACAGTATTAGCATTGAATTAAAAAACTAAATATCTTAGGAAACTTCGTGTGCCACGTGCCAGGCCTTGTTCATTATGTTTGCACATTCATTCATTCATTCATTATTTCACCCCGCACTGGGCACTCCCTATGCCAGGGTACAGGACAGCTACAGAGAAAACCAAAGCAGTCACAGCCCCTGCTCCTCAGAGGTTAATCTACATATTTAAAATCTGTAAGGCCAGGCATGGTGGCTCACGCCTGTAATCCCAGCACTTTGGGAGGCCGAGGCGGGCAGATCACCTGAGGTCAGGAGTTCAAGATCAGCCTGGCCAACATGGTGAAACCCCGTCTCTACAAAAATACAAAAATTAGCTGGGCATGATGGCGGGTGCTTGTAATCCCAGCTACTCACGAGGCTGAGGCAGAAGAATTGCTTGAACACAGGAAGTGGAGGTTGCAGTGAGCCAAGATCGAGCAATTGCACTCCAGCGTGGGCAGCAGAAGAGACTCCATAAAAAAAAAAAAAAAAAAAGTGTAAATGTACATATTTTATTTCTGTGGATTTTGGTTTTTCCCATTTTTCTACCATGAGCAATTGTTATTCATTCGCGGATGTATAATTCCCCATTCCAAACAAAAACCGTGAAGGTGACCTCTCAAGACAAGCAGGGTATGGGGCCGAGAGGCAGCCCCCAGGGGGCCAGTGCAGCCTCAGCGACCCTTCCCCACCGCTGGTGACCTCGGGCAGGTTGCCTCCTGGAGCCTCAGTTTCGTTACCTGCAAAATGGGAACAATAATATAATCCCCTCTGCCTCCTGCTCCCAAAATGCTGTCATTCTGTTTCCCTGGGGTTGTCACCAGCATGAGCCCAAGGTGCCCCTTCTCTGAGACAGGCCTGTCTCCTTGCGAGGGCCCGCAAGCTTCTCCTCTCTGCTGCTGCCCGCTGCCAGCTGTTTTGCGTTTCTGCTCTTGCAAATGTGGCTTCTCTTGGTGCTTTGGAGGCATCTGAGTGGCCGCCCCTGGGACTTCCCCCAAGCCGGCGTCCTGTGGGCTTGCCCCAGCGGGGGACAGCAGCCAGTCCTGAGAGTATGGGCTGCAGGGCCCGTAGCCCCACCCACACCGAGCTGGCGGGAGCCGTCATCGGGGCCTCCACCAGGGATTGGATGTTAGGGGCATGAGGATCAGCACGGCAGCAACTCACTGGAAGGGGCGCAGGCGTGCCAGGGGCTGCGGCTCTCTCGTGGGGCTCCCAGTCCTCTGGGTACCTGGAGTTCATGGTCATGGAGCATGGGGGTCACCAGGCAGCTGCTGGGAACTGGTGGGATGTGGGACAGGGTGTGCCCTGTGCTCTCCCTGGGGACTCTCCGGCAGCTTCTCCCTCTTCCGTCTCTCCCCTGGCCCCCTTCTTTCTTGATGAAACACCTGCCTGGGCTGGAGTCCTCACGCCCACCAGCCAGAAGTCAGCTTTGTCTGCACCGTGTCCCCCTGGTCTCTCGGCATCTCGGCAGGCACAGAAATCCACCCCTTAGCCCTGGTCATTACAGCAGCAGGTGGGCACCGACCCTGTACCAGGTGCTGCACCGAGTGCCCTGACTGTGCCAGCCCATCCGACCCCACAGCCTCCTGAAGAACGGGCTCCCTCCTCCCCGTGACACAGAGGGGACCACCCTGCTGTGGGGAACAGAACTTCCCTCCCACTGCCTCCCACGTGGCCGCTTGCCGTGTGGCAGATGCGGGACTTCTCCCTGAAGACAGGACCACCGTGGCCCCAGCATAGGTGCCTTGGAGGCCCCAGGGTCTTGCTGGACATTGTGTGGATGGGGCCTGGCCCTCTCGGCCCTGACCGCCCACTGACATCATAAGGGAACAGCTGGGTGGGTTTTTCCTGAAACACCGGCTGTGCTGCAGGGTTCCTGCCCAAATCCTCCTCTTGCGAATGGTGACCTTCCCCTGAGAAGCTCACAGTTTCTGCCTCAGAGCTGGGATTGTGCCGGAAGGCCCTCGTAGGAAGACAAAATCCTCCTACCTCTCGGGATGGGTGCACAGTTGAATTCTAGATTACAGTCTCGGCAACAAATTCCATTCCGATGCTCTTAAAATTTCTCCTTTCCCAAATACCTGCCTTTTCATCCCAAGGGGCCTGAGAGGCTTTCCTTGTGTCGGAAAATCTGAAAAAATTAAATTTAAAAGTCATTATGGCTGGGGGAAGGTTAATAAGAAAATTCTAAACCAGATTTATCAGCTAAGGCCTTCTTTGTGAACCTTTATTAAACTTGCATGATTTAGAATAGACTCTTTGTATAAACTTCACTCAGAAGTCTGCAAGGGAATGGACGCAGAGAGCGCCGCGCTCCCTCCTCAGAAGGACGGGAGTGAGTGGAGAAGCGTCAGACAGGCCCTCGCTAAAACAGCAGACAACACCAGGACCCACCTGGCCATGTAAGCAGAGACAGACGCTACAGAGGATGTGAGGGGCCACAAAATCCAAGGGGCCAGGAGCTTCAGGCACGGCCGCTCCACCAGGAGGGTGCCCTCCTGCCCCCACCACTAGGCACAGAGCCTTGCCCCTGCTGCCTGCAAGGGTGCTAGCCACACCTTCTGCCTCTGCTGGCTCCAAAGCTCAAGGAATCTCTGCAGTTTGCCAGGATCAGGCCCTCTCTGCCTCTCTTCTGAACCACAGACAGCCAGGTGCACCTGGCTGGCATGTCCCTAGGTCACTTACCTGGTTGTGGCTGTAGAGGAGGCCAGGAAAGTGGATATCTGGAAAATAAGGAAGGGAATTCAGAAGGTGCAGGGGAACCAGGAAGCCTCACTAATGACCACTATGCTGACCCTGGCAGCTTGAAAAAAAAGAGAGTGGCTCATCTCACAAGAGCTGAGAAGTCTTGGAAAATCTCTCCCTTCAGGCATGGCTGGATCTAGGCTCCACCAGCTCACCATGACGCTCCCCTGGACCATGCTTCCTCCAGCCGGCTTTGTTCTCAGGCTGCGAATGGCGGCTCCCAACCAACCCAACACCTTCAGATTCACGTGGTTACCATGCCCAGGCCAGACGCAGGGGCCGCCAGAACTGACCCCTAATTGGCTGACTTAGGTCATTAGCCTATTTCAAACCAGTTATTGAGGCGGGGGCCTCAGGGGTGGAGAACAAGGATCTGAAGCATTTTCAGTGAAGGACCAGATAGTATTTTCATCTATGGTCAGGCTGTCTCTGTTACTGCGACTCAATGCCACTGTTGGGGCAGGAAAGCAGCCACGGGTGATATGTAAATGAATGGGGTGTGGCTGGGTGTCAATAAAACTTTATTTATAAAAACAGGCCTCGGGCCAACACCACACTAGACCAAGCTGACCAGAGCCCTTCATCCCACCAAGCCCTTAAGGAAACTTGGGGTGACATGGCCGCAGGACCGGAGCGGCATGGTCCTGCTCAACCCTCCCACAGAGGCCTGAAGGCCAGAAGCTACAGAGGGCTGCCAAGTGGCTCCCGGGGGAGGCCAGCAGGTTTTCACTCAAGGAAGGAGAAGCGCCCTAAGATTCAGGCAGGCTGCTTTGGGGGCAAGGCAGTGTCCCCAGCGGAGGGAGTGGCCCTGAGCCAGGTGTCAGAGCCCAGCAGTGTGTGCTACGGGGCCCTGGCAGGCTGCTTTGGGGCAAGACGGTGTCCCCAGCAGAGGGAATGGCCCGGGGCCAGGTGTCAGAGCCCAGCAGTGTGTGCTGTGGGCCCTGGCAGGCTGCTTTGGGGCAAGACGGTGTCCCCAGCAGAGGGAATGGCCCGGGGTCAGGTGTCAGAGACCAGTGGTGTGTGCTGTGGGGCCTGGCCAGAGCAGCGTCTGTGTGTTCATGGCATCTCTGGAGAGGGCTCAGGGTCCTGGCACCCAGGACATTTTGCAACTCAGATCTCCGGGGTCAGGGGAGCTCACTGGCCTTGAGTCCTCCACCAGCCACTGCAGGGGTCACCTGCCTGCCTCACTGACGATGGGGCAGGCCACCCTCCTCCCTGCTCCAGGTCTGCAAAGCTCCCCCAACCCTGAGGCCCTCCCACCACCACCTCTGCCTGGAGATGGTCCAAGCAGGGAGTGTATAATGTGACCCAGCTACCACCTCCCCTGAGGACACCAGGGGGACTATCACCTCCACCTCACAGCTCTGTCCCACCCCCAGGCCCCCCCGGGCACCAGGTCAGCTCCTAGACTCACAGCAACACGGACCTGGCTGAGGAGGGCTGCCCCTCCCGCCCATTCCCCGGCCCTTCTGGAACTTGTTCACAGGCCTCAGCGAAGCTTCCTTGAATGTCCCCCTGCAGTGGTCCTCTGCCCGGGGCCTGGCCGCCCAGGATCCCGTGTGGCCACAGCCTCAGCAAGGGCTGTCCTCTCACACCCAAGGACTGCAGGGCTGAGATCAGGCAGGCAGCTCCCTGTACCTCACTCTCAGGCATGTTCTCACCCCCAGAACATATGGATCTCCAACCATGGCCTGAGTCGCCCCTGCTATCCCCCAGTAGGCACCATCCCCCATGCCATGATGCCTTGCAGTGCAGGGCCCAGTGTGTCCCACGGCGGCGCCAGCTCCTTGTCCTGCTGGGGGACGATCTGACTCCTGGGCGGCTCAAAACGTGTGATGAAGGGAAGACAGAGTGAGTCCCGAAGCTCCCTCCTCTAGGGCCAGGTCAGCGTCTCCAGGCCTCCCCGGGTACCCAGCTGCAGGTTCCGGGCTCTGGCCACCTGGCTCAGGAACAGAGACAGCTGGGAGATTCCGTCCCACACTAGACATCGGGAGTGGTGGGGGCGGTAGCTGTCCACTCTGGAGTTTAGCAAAGACGGTTCCTCCCAATCCTCAGATGAGATCTGTGGCTGAGCGTGGCCATCGTGTGAGGAAGGGCTCCTGCTCCACAGACAGGGCTGAGATCCCACTTTGGATAAATCCACAATTTTTCTTCCTAACAAGCTGATTGTATCGGGATGTGAATGCTTGGACCTAAACGTGACAGGCAGGGCCCTTCCTACCAGACCCAGAGCTGGGCCGGGCTGCGGGGTTTTCAGCCCAGCTTAGAGCCCCAGGTCGAGGAGGCTGATTAAAGGACTTTCTCTGAGCTTTTGAAATACAGAGAAAGGACGCAGTGTTTGTCTGGGATTAAATTGGAATATTTTTCCATCCTTGACAAGGCAGCCCGTTGGTGTGGGCTCTGAATTCTTCTGTCGCGTCGCCGTCCTTTTTAGGAATGCTGACTCGGCTCCTGCCTGGGAAAGGGGACCAGCGTATTTCATTTTTGTGCATTTATATGAAGGCTATCACTCATTCCTTCATTCATTGATTGGGCCAGCAGGGACAGTCGCCATCTGTATTTCCCCGGACCCTGTTCACCTGATGTCTTTGTCCACTGGTCTAATGGGGCCTCCACGCTCATGACAGATGCACGGAAGGGGCGCGGGTGGGTCGGGTGAATCTGCGCCATCTCACAGCCTCCTCTCACACCGGCTCTGAGATTCTGGGCCCAGAACCGCTGCCTCGGGGCCTCTGTGTGCTTCTCTGTCCTTGCAGGACCTGCCTGTGGCAGACGCGGTCTGCTGGCCGCCCGACGCCCGTTTCCCACCCCTTCTCCGTTTCCCACCTCACAAGGCTCCCTTCTTTGGGCTTGTGGTGGCCGTGGGACATCGCCCTGTCCAACGGGAGTGTCAGCACAAGTCAGCTGGGGAGGGGCACTCCGGGAAGACTCTTTCTTACCGAAGGGACAGCTGTGCTTCTCAGGCAGCCAGAGGGCCAGGCCGAGCTGCAGGGTCCTGACCATGGGAGGCCGGGGAAGGACAAAGCCCCGTCCCAACGGGCCCAGCCACCTGCAGCCCTGGAAGGTCAGGCTCCTGGGTTCAGGTCACCCCAGTGCAAGTTTCTGTTTGCTGCACCTGAGGGCTTCTCCGTGACTCCTGGCTGAGGGCAGGTGTGAAGGTGGCCTGGGTAATTCCCCAGACACCCTAACGGCCTTGTTTTAACTTGGTCACCTCTTTAAAAGTCCCATCTCCAAATACAGTCACACTCTGAGGCCTTGGGGGTTTAGGGCTTCCACACAGAAACTCCAGGACACAACATTCTGCCCCTAACAGTGCCTCATGCCAGGACACAGGGGCTTCCCACCCGGGGACACTCCCGGTGGAAGGGGAGCAGAGCTGCCTGCAGATGTGCACAGCAGCCCTGTCCTGATGCTCCAGCGCCCGTCCTGGGAGGAAGGGTACCTGATCACAGCACCGTCACATCACAGAGCGCTGCTCAGCCATCTCAGCTGCACGCAGCAACACAAAGGAATCCCAGAGCCACAGTGCCCAGCAGAAGCCAGACACAAGTGCTGGAAGGTTCCGCCCATGTAAAGAAAAAACCCAGGTCAACTCATCTGTGACGCCAGAAGTCAGCATGAGCTTGCAAGGTTCCTGCAACAAATGGCCACAAACTAGGGGCTTGAAACAACAGGAATTTATTCTGTCAGTTGGAAATCACCAGGGTCTTGCTCCCTCTAAAGACTCCAGGGAGAACCCTTCCTGCCTCTTCCGGGTTCTGCTGGCCACCCTGGTGTTCCTGGGCTTGTGGTGGCATCACTCTAGTCTCTGCCCCCATCTCCCACGGCCTCCCCTTCTGAATATGTCTGCGTCTTCTCTTCTTTGTGAAATCCCCTCTGCCTCCCTCTTCTGAAGATGCACATGGTAGCATTTAGCTCCCACCTGGATAATCCAGAAAAATCTCCCCAGCTCAGAATTCTTACCTCCAGCACCTTTTCTTCCTACAAGGTGGCATTTCTAGCTCCAAGGATTGAGATGTGGCCATATCTTCGGGGACACCATTCAACCAGTACAGGTGGAAACTTTGGGACCTGGAAGGGGTCTGGGGTGGGGACTGGGAATGAAAAGAAGTGCCCATTGTTGAAGCCGCTCCATCAGTGGCCCTCTGCCGTGGCTGCAGGGCTGACGCACCTGCCGGGCAGGTCTGCACGCCTGCTTCAGTGGGGCCCCGGCAGCCGTGCTATGAGGCGTGCACTCCCGTGCACCCCTGAGCAGCCTGTCTTCTCTGATTCCTGATCTGGGCGTGGCTGACACGGTGTGTTCTGTTTGTGAACACTCGTTGAGCTGGGCTGACACGGTGTGCTCTGTTTGTGAACACTCCTTGAGCTGGGCTGACATGGTGTGTTCTGTTTGTGAACACTCCTTGAGCTGGGCCGACACGTTGTGTTCTGTTTGTGAACACTCGTTGAGCTGGGCTGACACGGTGTGTTCTGTTTGTGAACACTCGAGCTGGGCTGACACGGTGTGTTCTGTTTGTGAACACTCGTTGAGCTGCACATATGCTACGTGCACTTCTCTGTGCATATTTACACTTAACACGGGTTTGTGACATTCTTTCCTTCCATTTTGCAGTTTGCAGGGGAGGTCCCCGAAAACCGCGTGGAGACCGTGGTCGCAAACCTCACGGTGATGGACCGAGATCAGCCCCACTCTCCAAACTGGAATGCCGTTTACCGCATCATCAGTGGGGATCCATCCGGGCACTTCAGCGTCCGCACAGACCCCGTAACCAACGAGGGCATGGTCACCGTGGTGAAGGTGCGTACTCTTCTCACACCCTGCCAGGCACCCCAAGTTCTGCCACCTGCACACTCCCTAGGACCAGTCAAACAGGAGTGATACTCGGTGTAAAGTTACTGCCCCCCTAATATCCAAGGGTAGAGGCAGGTAACCCAACCTGCTGGAGGCAGACACAACCTTCACAAGGACCTGTCATGTGACCTTCAGGGGCTTGGCAGACCCCCCAAAAATACCCTCCCATTCCCTTTTCAATGTCTATATATTCACTCCCACCCCCTAATCTAGTAATGGGCGAATTTCATTATTAGAATTCCTAATGTTAAACCATCTTTGCATTCCTGAGACAGATCCCACTGAGTAGTGAGGTAATATTTTGTAACACATTGAAGAATTTGTTTTGCTGATATTTGAAGTTTTTCATGTACTTTTCTGGGTGATTTAGGCCTATAGCGTCCTCATCTGGGTTTTGGTATCAAGGTTACAGACTAATCTCAAGAGTTTTTCTGTCCCAGAGACAGGTCTTATGATGCTGTAATAATCTGTCCCCTGAATGTTTCGTCACACTGTGCTGTGAAGCCATTGAGTAGCTGTAGATTTTGTCTTTTTGGTCGTGCTTCTTTTTGTTTTGGAGAGAGATCGGTTTGTAACTACTGGTTCAATTTCTTTGATGGTTTTGGTCAGATATGTTCTTCTAGAAAAGTGTCCATTTAATCTAAATTTTCAAATTTACTTATAAAGGCCTATCATTATAGTAGTAGTGATTCAGTCTTCTAATCTAACTCTTTTTCTACACTCATAATTCATATTCCCCTGGAAGGGCAGATTGGGAATTATATCATAACACTTAGCAATCGTTTACAACTTAGTGTGAAGAAGTTTAGCAGCTATTGTCCCAAAACAATTTTGAATAGGACTAAGAAGAAAAGAGCAAGAGCACATTGGGCATTTTTAGAGAAAAGGAGGGGTGACAGAATGGTGAGCTTAAAGCTGGGTAGGATCTGCCGAAGCGTAAGGAAAAGCAAGATGAGCTTAAAGCTGGATAGGATATGCCAAAGCATAAGGAAAAGCAAGATGAGCTTAAAGCTGGATAGGATATGCCGAAGCATAAGGAAAAGCAAGGTGAGCTTAAAGCTGGATAGGATATGCCGAAGCGTAAGGAAAAGCAAGGTGAGCTTAAAGCTGGATAGGATATGCCGAAGCGTAAGGAAAAGCAAGGTGAGCTTAAAGCTGGATAGGATATGCCAAAGCGTAAGGAAAAGCAAGTTTCATTTTGAGTTGGATCATTTAGAAATTTCCTTCAGCAGCCCGGAGCAGAGACTTAACCACAGAAATTTAAATACTCGAGAGTTGTATTCTCTCACGTGAGAGGAGTCTGAGGTGGGCAGTTGGGGCCAATGTCACAGCTGCACAATCAACAGAAACCCTGGCTGCTTCTATCCTCTGCTCTGCTGTGCACACCTTTCAGCTTCTAGGGCCCCTCGTGGTCCAAAATGGCTACTAGAGCACCAGCCATTACGAGACTTTTACAGGCGGTAGGAAATCAAAAAGGGGGGAAGAATGGCTCACCCCTCCTTTATTAAGGGACCTTCCCAGAACACCTGTTCACATCTTCTGGGGCAGAGTTTAGTCACATGGCCATTCTTAGCCAGAGAAGACACTGCATAACATAATTATGGAAACATATCCCAAACTTCTCCTAAGGAAGAGGGGAGCTAGATGTTAGGAGATCACAGGGGAAGAAAATAGGCTTTCTCCAGGATCTGTGTCTTTTCTCAACACCCCAAAGTCATCTTTTTCCTTTTCTTAATAACCTCTTTTGTAAGCAAGCTAGTGAAGACCAGTTCTCCTGAAAAATCTTATAAATTCTTCATCATTTTTATTTTATGAAATATTCAAACATACACACAAGCAGAAATAATAGTGAAATGAACTTCCGTATACCCATCACCTAGATTTAATTAACATTGTGCTACATTTACTAAATCTTTTTATTTTGGCTGATATGTTTGAAAGTAAATTAGCATGTCACAGCATTCCAGCCCTAACTCTGTATAAGCTTTCTTCTTCAAGAGAGGCTATTTTTTCACCGTAAAAGATAGTTCTTAGAGAAGAGGCAAAATACACGTTTCACTTCCCCTCTAATTATGAATTTTCAGAGTGAGGTATTAGCACAGCCGGCCCCCCAGTGGCAAAGTCAGATCTGTGTGCGCAGGGACTGGGCATGGTGAGGAAGGATGTGGCAAACCCTTTCTCCTTTTCTCTGGGCGCATTTGACCTCAAGCTAACATTCTAGCTCTGGCCTCTAGAAACCCACAAGGTGAATCGTCAGCTGCTTTGCTGGCAACGTTGCTCATGGGAAGGTGATGGAGACTGGATGTGACATGCAGGCAGAGGAGAGGAGTGAGCCGTGAGCCCAGAGCTGGCTGGGGCCTTCCCCAGTGAGTAGCGAGCCTCGGCCCATCTCCTGCTTGTGATTCCAAGGAGGTATCTCTGACTCCCACAGCTCGGATTCTGTGGCCTTCACGGGGAGCACAACGGGCAGCCCCCGGCCCCAGGAGATCAGCACCTGTCTCACCTCCCCTGCCCTTGGAGGGCCACTTCTGTAGCTGGAGCACACACAGCCCCGCCACCTTCATCAGCCCAACATAGATCAGAAAGGGCCGGTACCAAGGAAGAAGGCTGGCTCGATGTGGTGGGGAAAGCCTGACCCCTAAGGACTCCAGGGAAGGTGGCTTCCTGCCCAGCCCAGGGGCTGGTGGCCTCAGCCGTCATGTGCCTGCCTGGCCCTATCTGCGCGGAGCATCACAGCCACGGAAAGTGGAAGAGCACAGCCAACTTCAGGGAAGCGCCAGTGTCTTGGGACTGCATGGGCCTCGTGGCACTGGGCCAGGCCCTCAGCAGGCCCACGGAGCCCCTTGGCAGGCCCACGGAGCCCTCTTCTGTTCTTCAGAGAGGAGCCACTGGTTCCAAGCATATAGCACAGACTAGACTGTGGGGCATGGACTGAGGGTCCCAGGAGGGCCTGGGCACCGCCACCCCGGGAACTGATTCCTGAGATGGGAAATCATCCCCTTCCGGTTCTTCCTCCAGCTGGGGATGCTCCTGAGAAGGCCGCTGGGAGAGTAACTCCTCCAGGGCTCAGCTGCTTGGCAGCCATATCCTCACAGCAGGAAGGCCCTGGCTGGCAGGTGGGTGGGGCATGAATTTTGGAGGCAGAGAGGAGGTGCTGACAGCAGCCAGGTGGGCACAGCCGGGCACATTCACTGACCTATTGCCATGTGACAGCTTGGCAGCGGGCCACCCTCTGCTGAGTTTGTGCCACGTCCCTTCCCCTAGCCATCAGGGTCTCCTGTCCAGCTCCACCCTCTCCTTGTCAGGCCTCTGTCTACGTGGTGAGAATGGGGTTTCCCGAAGCATGTCTACAGAACGCTGGTTCTCAGGATGTTGATGAGTGCTGCCTGCGAGCCACGTTCGTAGCTAAAATCTCCCCACCACCTGTGCCTCCTGCCCCCCCACAGCCAGTCAACATCAGTGGCACTGAGGCCATTGAGGGGCCTGTGAAAGGAAGATGAAACCTCAGGACCCCAAACCCACTATGCCAAGGGAAGTGGAGCATGGGGACTGAGTCTCACGGTGCTGCCTCCCTTCTGTGGCCACACAGGTAGCTGGGGCTTCACACACCTACCCCGGCTTCTGTGAAACGTGGATCCACTGAGCACTAAGCAGAGCCTCGCAAGGATGTAGCCACTGTCTCATTGCCTACCCGGCCCCCGCTTTTTTCTCCTTTCCTCCTCCCTCTCCTGTCTGCTCTTTCCTCTTTAAATATTGAAGTCCTCAAAACCCTCTTTGGGAAAAGCACAGGACACAGATCCCACTGGGACTTGTGCTTCTTCTTCCCGGGTGCGGGCTCAGCCTCGGCAGAATAACCCTGGAATCAACGGAGATCGGTGCGGGCTCAGCCTCAGCAGAATAACCCTGGAATCGACTCAGATCTTGCAGGCCCCATCCCTCAGGCCTGGGAGGCTTGGAGACCTGCCATGCTCAGGGGAACAAACATAGCCCCTGCCTGGTACCCCGCATCTCCCACCAGAGCAACAGAAACTAGAAAGGTGCTGCCACTCCACACCCACAGGCGGGCTGGCACCCACCAGCAGAAACCCAGATGTGAAAATCTGCAGATTTTCAGATTTGGGGCTTGGGGTGCATTTTACCTTTTCACAGCTGCCGTCTTCCCCACTGGGCACAAGGAGGAGCAAACCAAGTTCCTACAGCACTGCCTGCTGCATGTGCCTGGAGGGCTGCAGCTGGCTCAAGTCTTCATGACCTAGAGAACTAGTGCCGTCCCTATTTCTGCACTTCTCCAGATCTCCAGCACCCTGAAACTCCCAGGGAGCCTCAGGCCAGGCCCCAATGTGATCAGCTACAGTGACGTTGGGCACCGATACCAGGTGTGCCATCCTCACCCCCATCTCACTTGGTCCTCACGCCCACCAAGGAGGTGCTATTCTTGTCCCATTTCACAGATGGCATAACTGGGAGCCCACACACAGGATCACACAGTGGGGACTGTACAAGCTGGGGCTGGAACCTGCTACCTCTGCCATAAAGCCATCTGTTAACCGTCCAGGTTCCTCGCTGGCCCTGCCTATCTGACTGAGCCAAGGTGTCTGTGTGTGTTCAGGACAACGTTCCACAGGTTTGAGGCCGAGGCTGAGGGCTGGCTGGGCTGTGTCTGCTCAGAAACCAGTCCTCTTCCAGGGCATCCTGGCAAGGCCAGATGGTACCGTCTGACCAGCCTGAAACCTTCCTAGTGCCATGAGGAGGGGACACGGAGGCTTGAGGAGGGGTCCAAGGCCTCCTGAGGCAGCATGAAACTCTGACCCAGCTGACGGTCCCCAGCCCAGGGGCCCTGAGACCCCATGATGCCTCTCCCCAGCTGTAAGCCCAAGTCCTATAATGGGAAGCTGCTCAGCCGTCAAAAGGAACAAACGGGAGATCCATGTGACACGCGATGGGTCTCCAGTGCATCACACTAAGTGAGATGAGTCAGAACCAAAAGGTGGCCTGTTGCATGCCCCCATCTGCAGAACATCCCGGAAAAGACAAAACTGTGGGGACAGAAAACCCTTCAATGCTTTGCTGGTGGGTGGAGAGGAAGGGACTGCAAAGGCACAGCATGAGAGAAGCGTGGAGGAGACGGGACTCTCCTGCACCTTGGCCGTGGGGCTGGCCGTGCTTCCGTACACTTGTTAACATTCCTGAGAGTGACTCTTACTGCATGTCAATTTTCAAATAAATTTTAAAATTTGAGGAGCTGAGAGCACAGACTTGCAGCCACACTGTCCCCAAAGAGTCATGGGTCATTGTGTCCTAGGTAGAATTCAACAGGAGAACCACACTTTTTCTTTTTTCTTTCATTTTTGTTCTTACTCCATATAGTGCTTTTCTCTGAAGTTTCAATTTAGAATCTGTTTAAGGTGTGTATTTAGTCTGGGGATGCTTCGCCTTAGAAAACATTTCCAAAATTGGTTTTGCATTCTTTGGTAGAGACGTCGTCTTTTCAGGCATTCTCTTTCGGAGCAGGGGAGTGGGGTGGAGGGGAGGGGTTGGGGAGTGGCGGGTGGTGTGGGAGGTAGAAGGCCAGTGCAGGGACCCCATGGCCCAGCCCACAGGAGATGTCCAGTATCTTGAGGGCATCTGTTCTTAGATTCCCACGCTAGCTCTTTGCTCACTTACCCCTGGCATGGACCAGCCACTTAATCTCTCTGTGCCTCAGTTACCTCAAACATAAAATGATGCAAATTGTGGGGCCTATGCCCAGAGGCTTATGACTCACACTGAAATAGACCCTGGATATAAATGATTTGGCACAGTGCCCGGCACAAGGTAAGGACTGAATCAATGGTATTAGCTGCTGTCGTCATCATAACCATTCTCGTTATCATCATCATCATCCTCATCGTCTTCATTGTCACTGCTGTCCCGAGCTGGGGAGAGGCTCCTGATCATTCTCCCTGCTTAGTTCCCCAGAGCATGAAGGTTACTTTAATTCCATGAAGGGTCCCCTGAGTCCCTCAGAAGAGCAGGCACCATATCATGTATGTACACTGCAGACCTGACCAGGTCACTGCTCCCAACCTTCAGTAGTTTATAGTCTGCAGAGGGGATGGTGAGGAGGAATCAGTGAAATATTTTGTCAGGTACACACTGGAAGCCCCAAATCCAGCAATGCAGCAGTGTGCTCTTTCCTTCTCTAAACCGACTTAGCTTCTGTTTCTAGCTGGGTCCCCCCAGGTGGTGGTAAGTGGTAGACTGGCATCTCTTCTGCCTCCCTTTTCACACAGTTGTGTCTATGCTCTGGGCTGATGCAGTGCCCTGTGCAGGGAAGGAGAGCACTCCTGGGCAACTGTCAGAGGTGTTTGGTCACCTCTGTTCTCAGCCATCAGTCACCCAAATCCTGGCTGCATCATCCTTCACTTCTGCGGTCCAGCTCGGCCACTGTCAAAAGAAGTCCACAGGCATCTCGGGCACGTCATCCAGATCTGTCCTGCCCCACACTCCCAATTCCATCTCCCTAGCCATACCAGCCGGGGATGAGGAATGCGCCTTGCCACCTCCCAGGCTCTACCTGAGGTGGGCACACAGCTTCTCCGCTCTCAGGTCCCCAAACCCAAATACCATCTGTTACCATCATACCCTCCTCAGGGCCCAGCACGGCCTCTTGTCTCCCTCCTCCAGTTGTGAAATCTTATCTTGAAGGAGCAAGGCCCAGGTCCAGGCTCATCCCAGGTTCTTTCTCGTCTTACCCATGGCCCTCAGTTTTAAAGCTAAAAAGCCAAGAACCGGCCTCTGCCACTTCCCCTTCGGGCAGCAACAGAGCTGGCCTTCCTGTGGGAGGCTCGCAGGTGGGAATTCCAGGGAGAGCAGGTCAGTGATGGGGTCAGTTCAGGCAACTCCTCCCCAAGACAGGGGCGCAGAGTGAGACTTTGAATGGAAGCTCCTGAGCCTCCCATCGGAGGGGAGCAGGGCAGACGTCCTGGTGTGTCCCCACCTGGTCCTGCCCACTCCGCCCAGCCGGTGCTGGAGCTGCTGCTCAGGCACACGCCCAGCTGCTCACCTCTGAGTGAAGGGTCATGGCCACGTGTGGGCGGCAGCCATGCTGAGCCTCAGCGAGTATATCCAGCCACCCTAATCGAAACTGCTGGAGCAAATTACCTATTGATTTCTCCATTACAAATGTGTTTTATTTTATCTTCCTGTGGGCTTTTATTGGCCATAATCATCTTTCTGGAAGGCCTCCTTGCTCAGGCTGGTGACACGATTTTTTAACGCATGACATGCAGCATTATTCCATGTCCCCGGGAACATGAGCCAATAAATATGGGAGAAAGACCACTTCCCTCAGGGGCTTGTTCATAGCGCTACCACGACGTGATGAAACAGTCTAGCCACATGAGTGGCCCCGTCCCAGCCAGCTGCTGGAGGGCCTGGGGGGGCAGCTGCAGGCGTTGGCATGGACAGCTCTGGGGGGGACCCCAACACGATGTGGGTGCAGGCAGGTGCTGGGAGCTTGGAGGCATCTGGAGTCCAGAGACAGAGGGACCAAGGCCAGACTTGGGGGTACCTGAGACCCCTGGTAGAACCTTTCAGAGGAGTGTGCTGGGTTATTCTGGATCAGGCGTCCCTTCAGGCTTGCAGTCAGCTTGGGCTGTGGAAGGTTCTGCAGGGTGACAGCTGCAGGTGTGAGGCCCCTGTGTGGCACACACAACCCCAAGATGGGCCTGGGCAGTGGTGGTGAACAAGGGGGTGCCCACTCCCTATATCCCCCAGGCACCTATGGGGCACAGATGAACCACACTGGCGCTGTGCTGGACGCTGGGGAGGCGGAGGTACAGGGCACAGCCCCTGCCCCAGGGGTGGCAGAGTCAGGGTGGGGGTCATGAACCAACGCAGTGAGAGGTGACAGCGTGCATCAGGGAGCCACGAGGCATCTCACTCAGGACTCAGGGAGGCTAGCAGGGACCACCCCTTCCTTCAGAGGGACAAGGAGACCACCCCTGGGGAGGATGAGGGCTCACCTAAGCGTGGTGTCGCGGTGATTGCGTGGAAGCGTGGTATTGCAGTGACTGCGTGTCACCCCCAGGGGCAGTGCAGGGACCGTGGGGACCCAGGACCAGAACTGTGATCTCTGCCACTCCCTGCAGACCCTCCTGGAGGCAGTCATGGGCTTCCAGGAGCCACCGTCTCAGTTTTCCTTCCATGCCCATCCAATACTATTATTTAGGCAATTTTATTTTTTGAGACGAGGTCTTACTCTGTTGCCCAGGCTGAAGTGCAGTGGTACGATCACTGCTCACTGCAGCCTTGACCTCCCAGGCTCAAGCAGTCTTCCCACTTCAGCCTCCTGGGTAGCTGGGACTACAGGTGTGTGCTACCACGCTCAACTAATTTCTTTTTGTTTTGTAGAGACAGCATCTCACTATGTTGACCAGGCTGCTCTCGAACTCCTAGGCTCAAGTGATCCTCCTGCCTCAGCTTTTCAAAGTGTTGGGATTACAGGCATGAGCCACCGCACCTGGCCTTATTGATGTGATTTTTAAATTTCTTCTTTTTGTACTGAAATATCTTATTCAGTAGCAGTGCCGAGAAGTCCTGAGTGTGACATACCAGATTATGTGGTTGTTCCTGCTTGGAAAGATCAGGCCCTGAGAGGCTGTGGTGGCCCCGGAGATGGGGTGGAGTTGGATCTGTTCAGACTCAGGTGCTTCACTGCCGGCCCCAAGCATGGGGAGTGGGGTTCAAAACAGCACCTTGTGGGTGGAACACCCCAGGTTCCTTCCTGTCTCACCTGAGGCCCTCAGCTTATGAAGCTCCAAAGCCACAAACTGGCCTTTTCCGCTCCACTGTAGACAGTGCCTGGCCTGCCTGCCTGCAGGTGGTTCACGAGGGGTGGGAACGTGGGGACATCACATCAGTGGCGGGACATGGTGCCCTCATGCTTCTTGGGGAAAGCTGATTGATTCCTCCAGCAGATAAGTTCCTCTCTAAGTGGAAATGTCTTACACTGTTTATCATGAAAGTTTCCAGGCATTCCTAGAAGTAGGAGGAACCTGCATAATTGCGTGGAAGCGCTGTGTCATGATGATTGCGTGGAAGCATGTCATGGTTGCGTGGAAGCGTGGTGTCGCGGTGATTGCATGGAAGCGTGTTGTGATTGTGTGGAAGTGTGTCGTGATTGCATGGAAGCGTGTGATTATGTGGAAGCGTGGTGTCACGGTGATTGCGTGGAAGCGTGTTGTGATTGTGTGGAAGCGTGGTATCGCGGTGATTGCATGGAAGTGTGGTGTCACAGTGATTGCGTGGAAGCGTGTCGTGATTGTGTGGAAGCATGGTATCGTGATTGTGTGGAAGCGTGGTGTCACGGTGATTGCGTGGAAGCATGTTGTGATTGTGTGGAAGCGTGGTGTGATTGTGTGGAAGCATGGTATCGTGATTGTGGAAGCGTGGTATCGCGGCGATTGTGTGGAAGCGTGGTGTCGCAGTGATTGCGTGGAAGCATGTTGTGATTGTGTGGAAGCGTGGTATCGTGATTGTGTGGAAGCATGGTGTCGTGATTGTGTGGAAGCATGTCGTGATTGTGTGGAAGTGTGATGTCACGGTGATTGCGTGGAAGCGTGTTGTGATTGTGTGGAAGCGTGGTATCGTGATTGGAAGTGTGGTGTCACGCTGATTGCATGGAAGCGTGTTGTGATTGTGTGGAAGCGTGATATCGCAGTGATTGTGTGGAAGCGTGGTGTCACGGTGATTGTGTGGAAGCGTGGTGTCACGGTGATTGCGTGGAAGCGTGTTGTGATTGTGTGGAAGCGTGGTATCGTGATCGGAAGCGTGGTGTTGCGGTGATTGCATGGAAGCATGTTGTGATTGTGTGGAAGCATGGTATCGTGATTGTCTGGAAGCATGGTGTCATGGTGATTGGAAGTGTGTCGTGATTGGAAGCGTGTCACGGTGATTGCGTGGAAGCGTGGTTTTGTGATTGCATGGAAGCATGGCGTCACAGTGACTGCGTGGAAGCGTGGTGTCATGGTGACTGCGTGGAAGCATGGTGTCACGGTGAGGGGCCGTGGTGGGTGATTGCATGGAAGCATGGTGTCACAGTAATTGCATGGAAGCGTGGTATCATGGTGATTGCGTGGAAGCGTGGTGTCGTGATTGCATGGAAACGTGGTGTGATTACATGGAAGCATGGTGTCACAGTAATTGCATGGAAGTGTGGTGTCATGGTGATTGCATGGAAGCGTGGTGTCGTGGTGATTGCATGGAAGCATGGTGTCACAGTAATTGCATGGAAGCATGTCATGGTGATTGCGTGGAAGTGTGGTGTCGTGATTGCATGGAAGCGTTGTGTCACAGTAATTGCATGGAAGCGTGTCATGGTGATTGCGTGGAAGCGTGGTGTCGTGATTGCATGGAAGCATTGTGTCACAGTAATTGCATGGAAGCGTGGTGTCACGGTGATTGTGTGGAAGCGTGGTGTCATGATTGCATGGAAGCGTGGTGTCACAGTGATTGCATGGAAGCGTGGTGTCGTGGTGATTGCATGGAAGCACTGTGTCACAGTAATTGCATGGAAGCATGGTGTCATGGTGATTGCGTGGAAGCGTGGTGTCACAGTGATTGCATGGAAGCGTGGTGTCATGGTGATTGCATGGAAGCATGGTGTTGTGTAAATCTCACAGTGATAGGCACGCTGCTGCGTGGCAATCTGCACTTTTTGCAGGAGTACGTTTTTTTAATTACCAGACCTCATGATCCTCCGCACCTAAATCTGTCAGAATGCATCACCCTCAAAAGCACATTTTGGGCAGGGTGCAGTGGCCCACGCCTGTCATCCCAGCACTTTGGGAGGCCGAGGCAGGCGGATCACCTGAGGTCAGAAGTTCAAGACCAGCCTGGTCAACATAGTGAAACCTCGTCTCTACTAAAAATATAAAAATTAGCCAGGCATGGTGGCGGGCACCTGTAATCCCAGCTACTGGGGAGGCTGAGGCAGGAGAATCACTTGAAGCCAGGAGGCAGAGGTTGCAGTGAGCCGAGATCATGCCACTGCACTCCAGCCTGGGCAATGGAGGAAGACTCTGTCAAAAAAAAAAAAAAAAAAATCAAAGCTCTATGATAAGAAATAGAGAGCAAACTCACAAACTCACACTCCCAGCTGTGACCCTGACCCCATTCCTTCCCTCTGATAACGATGATCATTTTTATTAGTTTTTGGTTTATCCTCACGATGTTTCTTTCTGCAAATATGAGCAAATACATATACAAATCATATTTTTCTCTCTCTTTTGCACAAAAGGTGCACACTATGTGGGTTGCTTTTTTGCCCACCAGTAGATCCTGGAAAGCTCTCCTCTTCAGTACACAGAGGGTGTTCTCTTTCCTCTTTACGGCTGCAAGTGTCTCCCCATGCAGATGTACTGCAGGCTGTGCAGCCCACCATTGCTGATGGATGTTTGGGTCGTTTCCAGCATATTGTCTCGACAGATACTACGCAATGAATACTCTTATGCATATGTTACTTTGCACGTATCTAAGCAGAATATTTTAATGCAATTGAGACACAATGTGTTGTGTTTTTTTCCAGTGAAACTGTTGCAAGCTTTGCCATTGAACGTCTCAGGGCCCCAAGCTTTTTCCATGTAACTTCCCTCCCTCCCCAAAATGTGTAGGAAAGGCTTGAGCGAAGCTTTTCTGATAATACAGCATCACTGCAGAACCGTAGCTCTAGCGTTTATCAGCCAGGGTCCTGGTGCACCAGAAGGGCACCAAAGAATTGTGTGAATGCAGGGGCCAAGTGCAGCAGTGATGGGAACTGCAGACCTGGCATGGTTCTGTCCGGGGCTGCGGTTACAAGTTACCACAAACCAGGTGGGTTACAACAATAGAACTGTCTTCTGTTCCAGCTCTGCGAGTCAGAGACATAAAATCAAGGTGCCGGCAGGAACGGTCTCGCTTAGGAGGTTGTAGAGGAGAACCCACTGCCTGCCTCTCTCCCGTTTCTTGGCCTGTAGCTGCCTCACTCCAGACTGCACCTCTGTCGCCACATGGCTCCTCCCTGCACCTGTGTGTCTCAAATATCCCTCTCCCTTTCTCTCTGTTTTGAAATTTTGGAGAGCCTTGCTCTGTCACCCAGGCTAGAGTGCAATGGTGTGATCACAGTGCACCACAGCCTCAAACTCCTGGGCTCAAGCGATCCTCCCACCTTAGCGTCCTGAAGCCCTGGGATTACAGGCGTGCATGACCGCACCCAGCCCTGCCTGTCTGTTATGAGGGCCTCTGTCTTTAACTTACATGTACAAAGACGCTATTTCCAAATAAGGGCTCATTCACAGGTCCCAGGTGGACATGTCTTTTGGGGGCCACCATCTGACCCTCCGCAACTGGTGAGGCCCCCCTGGCCAACAACGTCAGGAGCCTTCCCCACACTAGGCTCAAAGGAGGAAGGTAGGGACGGGGTTACCAGGCCAGGAAGAGGGGCCGCCCAGCGGGGGCTGCAGCCCCCCCAGGAGGAGCCCAGCTTCTGCCTCAGCCCAGCATGGGACAGGGGCTGGGAGGCCTAGACCTCCTCCCTCTCTCCTCCCATCGGCCAAACCCAGCAGGAAGCCAGAAGATAAGGGTGCCTGGGAGATGGGACCCTTTGGGGCCTCCTGGCTAAAGAGCAGAGCAGAGAAGAGCTGGACATGGCTCAGGGAGGGGTGGAGACCAACCTTCCCATGTGTCCCCCCATGCCCACTCCCACGGGAGCTGTGCCAGGTCACTCCCAGCCCTGATCTGTTGTTCCAGGCAGTCGACTACGAGCTCAACAGAGCTTTCATGCTGACAGTGATGGTGTCCAACCAGGCGCCCCTGGCCAGCGGAATCCAGATGTCCTTCCAGTCCACGGCAGGGGTGACCATCTCCATCATGGACATCAACGAGGCTCCCTACTTCCCCTCAAACCACAAGCTGATCCGCCTGGAGGAGGGCGTGCCCCCCGGCACCGTGCTGACCACGTTTTCAGCTGTGGACCCTGACCGGTTCATGCAGCAGGCTGTGAGGTGGGTGCACAGGACATGCCTCGTCCCTGCCTGCAGCTTCCCAGGTTCCATACAGAAGGGTCCAGAAATACCCCCATGAAACCCACAGCCCAGAATTCCCCCAGATGGGTGGTCGGGGGCATCTCCAACCTAAGGCGTCCTTCCAGGAGGGAGCCGCAGCCCCTTAGTCCCAGATAGCCAGATGCAGCCCCTGATCAATCGTGAGTGTTGTGACCGGTGCTTACTCATTCAGCACTGTCTAGACACAGGCCGGCCCGATCCTGGCCACACTCTCATAGCTATAAGACTCAGCAACCTCCTGCCCTCTCTGCTCCTCAGCGTCCTTGTCCGTTCGATGGGGACAATGAGGGTGTCTGCCCACAGGGTCCTTGTGAGTTGAGACCACCCACTACTGGATGAGCTTGGTGCCCGTAGCCACTGCGTGGCCTGTCCTGTTGTGGGGCCGGGGGGGAGGGTGCCAGTCCAACGTGGAGGGGAAGCCCTAGAGGAGGACAAGGCCTGGGGGGCTCCAAGGAGACAGAGACACTGGCCCAGGCCCAGGCCCTGGAGGTGTGGCCAAGGAGGCCTGGGATCCAGGGCAGCCCCGCCCACCCCCAGCCTTACCTCCCCCTGCACTTGTGGTCTCCGCAGATACTCAAAGCTGTCAGACCCAGCGAGCTGGCTGCACATCAATGCCACCAACGGCCAGATCACCACGGCGGCAGTGCTGGACCGTGAGTCCCTCTACACCAAAAACAACGTCTACGAGGCCACCTTCCTGGCAGCTGACAATGGTGCGGCCCACCCCAGGGAGGCAGCCGTCTCGGTGGCCTTCCCGTGTCCTGGGTTCTGTGGGCGAGGGAGGGTGCTGGCCAGGGAGACCCCGAGAGGCCAGCAGGCATCCAGAGGGTCACCCAGAGGGGCTGAGGGGGCATCTGTGCAGACACCGGTGATCAGGGCTGCGTCATCTCAGGGCCCCCAGGCCATGCTCCCCCTCCACCCACTCCCATGTCAGTCATTCATTCTGCCCCCTCCCCAGCATTCACTTGCTTGTTCGAAGGTGTGCCTGGTCTTTCCCCCCAATGTCACTCACCCACAGCCTCCAGGGGCATCAGGGCACTGGTCATCCCAGGCTTGGCTTTGCTGCCCTCTGCAACCTGAAATGCATCTCAGTTTTGCTGCCTGTAAACTGAGGCACTGGAATCAGGTCCACAGTTTTCAAATGCTTTCAGCCGGCAGCCCTTGCCACAGACCCCATCCTGCGGGGAAGGCCCAGCCCCACTGGTCAGCAGCCCCGGGGGTGCCGCCCTCGTGTCTCTGACCACCCACGGCACAGACCCCTGTGGCCCTTAGTCACAGCAGGAGGCATGAGACCCTCCAGGGCCCTGGGAGTGCAGAGGGCGGTGGCAAGGTCCCGGGGCAGGCGGCACAGCAGACGACCTCAGGAGCCTGGACGGGAGGGCGAGGATGGGCTGGGCAGAGACGGCAGGAAGAAGGTTTGAGAGCACGCGGGGCTTTCTGAGGGACATGGGCCAGCATCTCAAGAAGCAGCCACCCCTTCCTGGACCTGCAGTAACCCTGCGAACTGGCCGAGCCCCCCACGGGTCGCACGCTCTCAGAGGCATGGAGGCAGGGCGGGTGGGAGCAGGGATTCTGGAACCGAAGATCAGTCCAGTACCACCGCTTACCAGTGGGAAAAGACGTGACCGCTCTGTGCCTCAGTTTCCTCCTCTGCCAAGTCGGGGGAGTCTTAGTACCCCTGAGAATCAAACGAGTCGGAGTCACCGGAACACTGAGGAAGGGCCTGGCTCAGAGCAGCATGGGCTCCTGTTTGCTGCAGCCGTGATGACTGCCCGGGCTGCCGTTTGCCGAGTACCGGCCGAGTGCCTGCCGCTGCTCATCAGTGGGTGGAACACAGTGACGCCCTGCTGTGGCTTGGCTGACAGCCCGAGTGTGTCGGCTGGAACCTGGGTCAGTGAATACTGATGGAGGAAACTGCAGCACAATTGAGGCTTTTTTTCTCTCACGTCAAAGAAGGCTGGAGGCAGGCAGCCCAGGGGGAGATCCGAGACCTGGGGCATCCTGACTGTGCCACGGCATGGCCCAGAATGGCTGCTGGAGCTCCAGCCGTCACAGCCATGTTCTGGCAAACAGAAGGCCTTGCAGGGAGGGCACGGGCACACGTCTGCTACTAAGGACTTTCAGAAAGCCCCACGCAAGTCCTCCACCCACAGCTCACAAAGCCCAGAACTTACTGATGCAGCCACCCCCAGCTGCAAGGGGCGCTGGGAAATGGGGTCTTCTAGATGGACAGTGATGATCCCAGACAAAATGTAGGACTCCGATTATTTTATTAAAAGGAAACAGAAAATAGATATTGGGGATGACTCAGCAGCATCTGCCCCAAGGAGACCGGAGAGAAACCAGCCACGCAGATGATTCAGGCAGCAAGAAGAGCTGGGAGAAAACAAAACAGGCGGCTGGGAGGCAGTGACCAGGGGCTCCGCTCTGAGGAGCTGCCCTTGGGACCAAGAGCTGTGGAACCAGAGGAGCAAGCACGGGAAGGAGGGTCACAGAGTTAGGAAACGGTGTGTGCAAAGGCCCTGAGGCGGGGCTGTGTCTGGTCCGCTCTTGGAACGGCTGTGCGTGAAGCCTCATGAACAAGGGTAGCCATTGTGCAAACGCTCGTCCCATAGCAGGTGAAGACAGGACGTGGACACCCCCCTGCCAGCCTCCCCCAGCCAGCGCTGCCTCCCCTGCCAGGGTCCACAGAGCCCGGGCGGTGTAGCTGTGCAGCTGTGCAGCTGCCTGTGAGCCCAGGGCTCTGGTCAGGGGAAGCGTCTCCCCTTGAGGGTCCCCTGCCGCAGCTCAAGCCCTGAGATTAAATTAGAAAGTGATTGTGAGCCCGGGCCAGGCCCCGTGGCTCACACCTGTAATCCCAACACTTTGGGAGGCCGAGGCAGGTGGATCATGAGGTCAGGAGTTCAAGACCAGCCTGGCCAACATGGTGAAACCCCGTCTTTACTAAAAAAATACAAAAATTAGCTAGGCATGGTGGTGCACGCCTGTAATCCCAGCTATTCGGGAGGCTGAGGCAGGAGAATCACTTGAACCTGGGAGGCAGAGGTTGCAGTGAGCCAAGATCGCCCCATTGAACTCAAGCCTGGGCAATAGAGTGAGACTCCATCTCAAAAAAGAAAAAAAAGAAAGAAAGTGATTGTGAGGCCGCAGCTGGAACATCGGAGCGTCCATCGCACGTGGCAGACGCCGTGTGAGGGAGCCGGGGTGCACAGGCTGGAGCAGGAGCCCCCCCGGTTAACAGAACCTGTCTGTGCTTCTCCGATCACGTGCCGTGCCATCAGCTACATCTCAAAGCAGTTTTCAAAGGTAGCGCCGCGCTGCGTCACCTTAAATGTGTTTTGACGCAGCTTCCGGAAGATTAAAGAGACATCCGTGGGATACATTTTTACATGGTTCGCCTGCCTCAGTCAAAACACGTGGTTGTTAACGTCAGGTCAGGAGCTGCCATCAGGAGCAAAGCTACAGTCAGAACATGCCGCCACCACCGCCGCCTCCAAGCCTGGAGAGCAGACAGGGCATCTCTCTGTCCCCAGATTCCAGCCACCTGGCCTGCATCCTGGGCTGAGGCAAGGACTGAGCTCATGTGAAGACCCCAGGGACAGGGATGGCCCCTGAGGAGCTCTGGGGGCTCGGCAGAGCACCTCCGTTCATGCTGAAGCCAGAGGTCATCGGGTCCTCCAAGGAGACCTCCTGCCGGGCCAGGAGGGAGCTTCCATCAAAGCTCATCTGGAGCGGCCGCGCCTGCTTTTCTCACAGACACTTCCAAAAGCAGCAGTTCTTCCACGCGATCATGCGTCTGGGCTCAGGGCTTCCAGCACCCTGGGGCTCTGCTGGGCAGGGCCAGCAAAACTCAGGGAGGCAAGGAAAGGTTTTGCCCTAAGAAGTCCCAGATGGGGGCAAGATGTGGTGGGCGGATCCCAGCCCTCAGGGGCCAGTGCAGAGCCCAGCACCCGCAGAACCCCTCCCTGGCTCCCCAGTGGGAGTGAGTCCCCGGTGCGTGGCTGTGACCTCCGTGGCTGTGAGTTTCCACGTGAATGCCACACCCCGCTGTGTGCGTGTGTGCAGGTGTGGGTGTGGCCGTGTGCTCTGCCGTGTCTGTTGAGGTGCTGTGCGCAGTGGCTGTGTGCGTGTGTGCAGCTGCGGGTGTGGGTGTGGCCGTGTGCTTTGCCGTGTCTGTTGAGGTGCCGTACGCAGTGGTGTGGCTGCCCATGGCGTGTGGCAGGGTGTCGGTCAGGAGCCATGGCTGGGCTGTGGGTCAGTCCCTGTGCAGCTGTGTTGGGAGATGGCCGGCCGTGTCCGGCTGGGGGTCTGCACATGTGTCCCTGTGTATGTTGCACGTGGTTGTTTGTGTGCGTGTCCTGTGTGGAGCTGTGGGTTGGTCATGGAGTACCAGGAGTGGCCCGTGTGGTGACCTGTGTCTGTTCCACAGGGATACCCCCGGCCAGCGGCACCGGGACCCTCCAGATCTATCTCATTGACATCAACGACAACGCCCCTGAGCTGCTGCCCAAGGAGGCGCAGATCTGCGAGAGGCCCAACCTGAACGCCATCAACATCACGGCGGCCGACGCTGACGTCGACCCCAACATCGGCCCCTACGTCTTCGAGCTGCCCTTTGTCCCGGCGGCCGTGCGGAAGAACTGGACCATCACCCGCCTGAACGGTGAGCCCGCCTTAGGCCACGGGGAGGGTCAGACTAGCCTGGGGTGCAGGCCCCTGGGAGACCCAGCTGGCCTTGGAAGAGTGGGCACCAGAGGTGGGTGACAGTCCTCCAACAGGACTGTCCCACCAAGGCTGGGGACACTGGCCACGCTTCAGCTGCTCAGCCTCCTTCACCTGGCCTTGAGGAGGCCACCAAGTCATTCCCAATTTCTTGCTGCTTTAATGAGGCCAGCCGTGAACATCCTTGCAGCTCTGCCCATGTACATCCATGACAACTTCCTGTGCCGGTTGTCAGTTGACTGGACCCTGACTGATATGTTTCCTTAGAATACTTCCCTGGATGCAGATCTGTGGTATAAAAGGATATCAAAATTCTCAAGTTTTGGCAGTACTGTGAAAATGTGCTCTAAACATGTCTACTTCCATCGGGAGAGTGCCTGTTTGTTTCCTCAAACCCCACCAACACTGAACATTATTGTTTTAAAATAATATTTTATTCTGCCACCTTTAGGCCAAAGTCATTATTTCCATTTGTATATCCTGATTACCAGTGGAAATGTTTTATATATATTTATTGGCCATTTTTGTTTCTTCTGTGAATTGTCTGTCCAATGACTTTGCCTATGTTTTCTTTGGGGAGTTTCTTTTTATTGATTTGGTAAAACTCTTTATATATTCAGGAAATTATTTCTTCATCCTACATGTTGCAATTGCTTTTTGGTTGTGTCTCCAATGTCTTTTTTTTTTTTTGAGACTGTTGCCCAGGCAGAAGTGCAGTGGCACAATCTCAGCTCTGCAACTCCACCTCCCAGGTTCAAGCAATTCTCCCACCTCAGGCTCCCAAGTAGCTGAGATCACAGGCTTGCACCACACGCCCGGCTAATTTTTGTATTTTTTACTAGAGACAGGGTTTTGCCATGTTGGCCAGGCTGGTCGTGAACTCCTGACTTCAAGTGATCTGCCCACCTCAGCCTCCCAAAGTGCTGGGATTACAAGCGTGAGCCACCACACCCAACCTCCAATGTCTTTTAACTTAATGATGTAGCACAGGTGTATGTATGTATGTGTGGTAACCAGGCAGCCATTTCAGATTTCCATGCCATCGGACTTTTAGTCTTTTCCTTTGGACGTCTTGCTTGGAAGCGAGGGCCGGGCTCTGGTTGAATGTTTACTGTTGCTTTGCACCAGGTGACTATGCCCAACTCAGCTTGCGCATCCTGTACCTGGAGGCCGGGATGTATGACGTCCCCATCATCGTCACAGACTCTGGAAACCCTCCCCTGTCCAACACGTCCATCATCAAAGTCAAGGTGTGCCCATGTGATGACAACGGGGACTGCACCACCATTGGCGCAGTGGCAGCGGCTGGTCTGGGCACCGGTGCCATCGTGGCCATCCTCATCTGCATCCTCATCCTGCTGAGTGAGTGTGGCTGAGCACCAGGGTGGGCAGGGGCATTGTGGGTATGAGTGCCCTGTCCCAGGCATGGTGGGCAGAGGGGGGCCTGGATTTGCCCCTCAGCCCTCATCTCTCAGCCTCATCTGTCAGGAGCCTTTCAGAAATGCAGCTGAACTGGTCCATATGACAATGGGAAATTGGAGCCTCCCGTTACTCTCAAGTCTGGAGGTGCAGGCCGGCCCAGGTGTCTCCCATGGCCTGGCCCCTTTCCACGGCTCCACTCTGCCTCCCAGAGCCCCTGTGTCCTGAAGCTGTTGCCCTCCAGGACCTGTGACGCCTGTGGGCAGCTCCCAGGTGGACTTAGCAGAGGGAAGGTCAGCCCTGCCTGTTAGCGTCCCCATCCAAAGTCCCAGGACACTCTCTGATTGGACTGGCTTGGGTCACATGCACACCTTGGAGCCAATCACCAGCCAAGCAATGGAGTGTTCTCACTGGCTCTGCCCAGATCACATGCTCTAGTAGTTTCTTGAGTTTCCCACAACCACTGTGGGTTCCCAACAGGTCTGAGGGCTGGCGGGGGGGCGGTGCCAGGGGAGGTGCTTGAAAATGACCCCAGAGGTCCCTCTTCCCATCATCCCTCATGGACAGTCACCGTGGTCTGTGATACCCCAGGGATCCCAGTGGGAGGCAGGGCGGGGAAGGGTTGGGCTACCACCTCCCCAGTTCACACCCAAACCACAGGGTCCCCCACCACGTCCAGAACAGGCGGCAGGCCCCTCCTGCAGACCTGGCCTGCGGCTGACTTGAGACCCCAGGGACCAACCTGAGCCCTGTCCAAAGGATGTCTGAGTTATGAGGACTCTGCTTTTTTCCCCATTTCCAGACCTATCACCCCTTGAAAAGCCGGTTTTCATTTCTGAGGCTTGTTTTGAAAGCCGTTCAGTGTCGTGGGCTTCTTTGTATGATCAGGAGTGGAAAGAGCCCCACAGAGGTTGGGAGGTGTCTCTGTAGCAAAGGTGGAGGCATTCTCACCGATGTCCCCTGCTCTGGAAACACCGGGGGCCAGGCCCCAGCCAGAGCACCCTCTGTGGGCAGGGCTGTGAGACCCAATTCAGCTGAGTGCCTGGCCCGTGCAGGAGACCTGGGCCACTCTCGAGGGCAGCCGCAGTGGAGGGCATCCGCAGTGGGGCCGGGGCCACGGTCAACAGCAGATCCGCCTGCTGCCCGGCTTCTGCCCAGTCGTGGGCACCTCAGCCCTGGTGGGGTGCATGGGGGGCACCCGGAGTGGCCTCCCCTCCTCCACACTCCTCCTCTCAACCCTCGCTCATCTTGTCTGCCTGGATGAGCCTGGGATGCCAGCTGTGAGAGTGGAGCTGACCTCTTCAAAGGTTCTTGGCCTTGTGGCTTCCGTCGAGCCAAGACTAGGCCCGGGCTCCAGGCTCCAGGTTCTCACGGAGCTGCACCTGCAGTGCGTGGCTCCTCCCTCCGCCTGCACTTCCCTCTCCACGATCTGGGCCAGGTCAGGAAGCGTCCCCCGGCTGTCACCTCACCCTCTGCAGGCAGGGCGATGCCGCCAATACCCACAGAGCTCCTCCCAAGCCTCCACTCCGCTTCGGAATCCTCCTCACGACATCAGGCAGCCACAGCCAATTAATCGGGTTGGCAAAAAACAGCCCTCCTGACTGGGGGGTCGCCGCCCCTCTCGCCTCCGGGCTCACCCTCTGCGGTACATAAGAGTGCACCTGTGATTCTGGGCCTCAGTCGTTACATCTGTGACATGGGAGGTGACGGGAGGCTTCAGGAGGATGCAGTGGAGTGGTTTGTGCAGGCATTTACTGGGGGCGTGGGCTGCATTACCTGCTCCTGGAGCTTTGCAGATGGGTGCGCCAGGCTTTTCCTGCAGCAGAGGCAGCCAGGGGTCCAGAGTGAGCAAGGCTGTTTAGGGGAGCCAGGGCTGGACACGGACCTCGGAAGGCAGGAAGAATCCAGTTCAGCTTGGGGGAGAGGGTCCCTCCATCCACCCCACAAGGGGACTTTACCTCTCTTCAATTTCCACATGCACCTGAACTTCTGAGCCTGTACCCCAATTCCTTTGAGTGGTGGAAAGAGCCCCTCTGAGTGACCCCCTCGGTACTGGGTGGGGCTGCCCTTCTGTCCAGCGACGCCCTGGACTGACCCCACCCCAGGGGCCCTCAGGAAGCAGGATCCCTGGATCCCCTCTCTGGGCCCCTATCCTCCCAGGGCAGAGCCTCTTTCAATATGGGGGAGTCCATCTCCCTCTCTCAGTGATTCCTACCAAGACACTGTGTGCCTAAAACCTCACTTCCACCTCCTCTGACAAAGCCATCTCCCTCCTGCTGCTCAGAAGAGGGACTCAGAAAGACTTGTGGGTGGGCCCCTCAGCCCCCCATGTCCTCCCGTCCCCAGGCGGTGAGAGGCACCCTGAGCTGGCTGCCTTCTCAAAAGGGGAGTGCAAGAGGAGGGCGAGCTTGTAAATCAATGACTCAAAATGTAGCCCAGTGCCCAGGCAGTGAGCTGGGGAGAGGGCCTGAGCCAGTGCGGCTGTGCCTTGGAAACTCATGCACACGCACACAGGCATGCATGCACGCACAGACACATGGGCACACATGTACTATGGACATGAACACATGCACTCACGCCCCATGAGCATACACAGACACACGAAGTACACATGGACACATGCACACACAGACCTGTGCAGGCTTGTGTGTGCATCTACACACATGAACACACGAGCACACACACAGATCTACACGCTCACACCCAGGCACACGCATGTGCAAGCCTTCATACACACGTCCTCCTGCAGATACACGTATGCATGCTTACACAGACGCATGAAGCACCTACATCCACGACTCCTGCGGATACACGTATGCATGCTTACACAGACATGCATGAAGCACCTACATCCACGAATGCACACGCACGTGGGCCGCACATGTGCACAGATGTGTCCTTGCACATCCAGGCCTGCATGTGCAGAGACATGCGCGTGTGCAGTACAGGTGTGCATGCACACATGGGCACAGTCATGCTTGTGTGCCACCTGCATGTACATGCCCACATAGACACATGGCAAACACAGAGGCACACATGCGCACACCCGCAGCACACCCTGCTCACGGGCAGCCCTCCCCCACAGCCATGGTCCTGCTGTTTGTCATGTGGATGAAGCGGCGAGAGAAGGAGCGCCACACGAAGCAGCTGCTCATTGACCCCGAGGACGACGTCCGCGACAACATCCTCAAGTATGACGAGGAAGGCGGTGGCGAGGAGGACCAGGTGAGACTGCGGCCCGCCCCCGCCTCCCCACGCGAGGCCGGCTCTCACGTGTACTAGTGTCTCAGCAGGGATTGCCCTGGGGTTTAACAGTAAGACATTTCAACCTTTTCACCAGTGAAGGTGCCAGGCAGGGGCGCACGGTTTCCTAGCCTGGGCTGAGCTGTGCACACTGCACCTGCATCCCCCACGGGGGATCCTGGGACCCCTCCCATCCTCGCCTTCTTCCCTCCCATCACCAGCCCCAGCCCAGTGCTGCCCTGTGCCCTGGAGGGGAGGGGGCTCCGGGTTGGCCAAGCACACCGATGCCCACTCGCGGATGCTGCTGTGTGCAGAGGGCTGTCGACTGACCAGGGGCAGTGCACCAGGCGCCCGGGAGGGTAGACTGTGAGAGCTGGTGGTTGGAATCTGAGTCTACCCTTGGCCTTTCAGGGAATCGGGGCAAGTCAAGTCCTTAAACCCGTCTAAAGCTCAGACCCCTCCCTGCCCCTCCCACAACACGACCATAACGAACGTGAGGCATGTGCCTTGCGGAGGCCCAGCTCCTGGCCACCTTCCCCGCCCCTCCCGCAACACGACCATAACGAACGTGAGGCATGTGCCTTGCGGAGGCCCAGCTCCTGGCCCCCTGAGCACTCGGGGCACGTGGTTGGTGAGCAGCGTGGTGGTGAGGTCACTCGGGGAGAGCCCCAGGCCATGGAACACAGCCAAGAACAGCCCCTATCCCTGCCCAAGGGATTGGGGTAAAGGGCAAGGAGGTGGGGCATTGTGGAGGGGCACAGCAGGGGACAGCATGGTTCTGTGGGATGCTTGGAGACCAGGCCACAGGGCAGCAGGTGCATCTGTGGCCCAGGTGACAGAAAAGGATGCAGGGTGGAAGGGGGGCTGGCGGATTCTTCTGATGCCCCTGACTCCTCCCGGCTCCCTCCCCCAGGACTACGACCTCAGCCAGCTGCAGCAGCCGGAAGCCATGGGGCACGTGCCAAGCAAAGCCCCTGGCGTGCGTCGCGTGGATGAGCGGCCGGTGGGTGCTGAGCCCCAGTACCCGATCAGGCCCATGGTGCCGCACCCAGGCGACATCGGTGACTTCATCAATGAGGTGTGTGCCTCTCGGCAGTGGGGGGCCCGGGCAAGGTGTCTCCTCTAAAAATTAAATTCTGGTAACACACACAGAAGCCATCTCCACAGTGCCGGCGGCTGCCGTGGGAAGGAGGCAGCTCAGACCCGGGTTCCAGGCCCTGCTCTGCCCCTCCAGCGGGGTGGCCTGGGCAAATCACCTCCCTCAGCAGGCCCTCTTTCCAAGGATGAGGATTCCTCCCTGTAGGCTAGGCGAAGGATCAACACACAGGGCCGGGTGCACAGCAGGGGCTTCGTAAGAATTCGGGTTTGCAGCAGAGGCGCCAGCAGCAAGGACAGGCCTCAGGAGGAGAATCAGCGGGGCGACGGCGGGGAAGGCGCACTTGGTGCTATGAGCCCTCCAAGTATTAACCTTACACAGAGCCCACTGCCGCTGTGAACGGCCTTCCCGGGCTCGGCTCACCCAGATGCTCAGAGAGGCAGAGGCCCAAGCCTGGTCTCAGGGCCCAGGCCAACTTGCCCCCCCTCCCCACCCCACCCCACACCCCAAACATCAGGACACAGCAGGTGGGAGCCACACAGAGGTGGCTGCCTTCCAGGGCTGCCGCCTGACCACCTGCCCGACCTGACACTTGAGGGTTGGAGGGGACTTGACTTGACCAACAAGCAGCACACCCCAGCCTTCCATCTTCCCCTTTACAAGAAACATTTGAAACATCGCTTACAATGTCGCCAGGGAAACACTCAGTTTCCACTTCCAACGCGCAGCTCCCTGTCTTCGTTCCCATCTTCCATCTTCCTTTGCGGTGAAGAGAACAGAGGAGCAAGTCAAACAGGGCAGACTCCTCCCAGGGAGCGTCCTCCGGGCAGTGACTCTGAGGCTCCAGACTGGCCTCGCCTGTGGCTCTGCAGGGATCACGGTGTCCTCCGTGCTGCTTCTAGTCGGCGTGAGCCCCTGTGGTTTCATCACCTGCTCGCCGATGCCCACTGCATTTTAAAGGAGGTTTAGCAACACTTAGACCTCAGCCTAGGTCAGAATCTCACTTTAAAGGAATTGATTTAAACAGAAGATAACCCAGGTAGTGATTCAACAGAAAGACAGAAAGGTTTCCCCAAAGCAGATGGTGTTCTGGGCCACAGATGAAATTCCTACAACTGCCTACGCCGAAGCTGCTCTGACAACATGACGCTTACCGTCTATGACATAATAAAAACGTAAAGATCCCCAAACGTTTGCCCTGCCCAGTCTATAATTAATTTAGAGCCCACTGTTTGTTAGCCAGGCGCGGTGGCTCAGGCCTGTCATCCCAGCACTTTGGGAGGCCAAGGCAGGTGGATCACCTGAGGTCAGGAGTTCAAGACCAGACTGGCCAACATGGTGAAACCCCGTCTCTATTAAAAATACAAAAATTAGCCGGCGTGGTGGCCTGTAATCCCAACACTTTGGGAGGCCATGGCAGGTGGATCACCTGAGGTCAGGAGTTCAAGACCAGCCTGGCCAACATGGTGAGACCCCCGTCTCTACTAAAAATACAAAAATTAGCTGGGCATGGTGGCGGGCACCTGTAATCCCACTACTTGGGAGGCTGAGACAGGAGAATCGCTTGAACGTGGGAGGCAGAGGTTACAGTGAGCCAAGGTCGCACCACTGTACTCCAGCCTGCAAGACAGAGCAAAACTCCATTTCAGAAAAATCTAAAAATAAATAAATAAAGCCCACTGTTAGATAGGTCTTAGGAGAAATTAAAAATGAAAACAACAAACCAGTCCATACTGAATGACACTGAGTACCCTCTCCCAGGGTCACAGGAGGAGCAGGTGCTGGCATGGAGGTGGCACCCGCGGGCACTGAGGAGAGGACGGGGCTCCAGCAACACCCACGGCACTGCCAAAGCTTGTCCGTGGGAGTGCCACACTCATAACTGCCAGGTTCTGACTTCTGTCCACCCTAGGTCCCCTTTCCCTCCAGACAATGGTCAGCTAGACTGGAGAACCATCTGCCTGCCCCCTTAGGGAGGAGCTGAGCTTCAGCCACATGGCCCAGCCCTCACCTCCCCCACACCACCCCTTGCCCTCTCCCACACCCCCCTGCCCTTCCCCTATAAACCCTCACACCCCCCCACCCTCTCCCACACCTCCACCTTCCCCCACACCCCCTCCCCTTCCCCCACACCCCCTCCCCCCTCTCCCACACCCCCCTCATCTGCCCTTGGGTTGGGAGGAGCTGAACTCCAGCCACGGGCCCTGCCCAACCCTCCGCCTCCCCTGCCCACAGACTGCTGCTGGATTTGAGTTTGCCCCTTCAACACTCCCACGCTCCATCTTCACAAATGCCCTTTTCTACTCGGAAATGCCCTTCAGTTAAATGCAGAGAGCCCTTATTGGACACCTACTTTATGCAACGTCCTACCTCCCTACCTCTTCTTCTGGGCCTCGCTTTCCGTTCCGTCCGATCCCGGGGCTGAGACAACGCGTCCTGCACCCTAACTCTGTGTCTGTGACCCCCAGGGACTCCGCGCTGCTGACAACGACCCCACGGCACCCCCCTATGACTCCCTGCTGGTCTTCGACTACGAGGGGAGCGGCTCCACCGCAGGCTCCGTCAGCTCCCTGAACTCATCCAGTTCCGGGGACCAAGACTACGATTACCTCAACGACTGGGGGCCCAGATTCAAGAAGCTGGCGGACATGTATGGAGGTGGTGAAGAGGATTGACTGACCTCGCATCTTCGGACCGAAGTGAGAGCCGTGCTCGGACGCCGGAGGAGCAGGACTGAGCAGAGGCGGCCGGTCTTCCCGACTCCCTGCGGCTGTGTCCTTAGTGCTGTTAGGAGGCCCCCCAATCCCCACGTTGAGCTGTCTAGCATGAGCACCCACCCCCACAGCGCCCTGCACCCGGCCGCTGCCCAGCACCGCGCTGGCTGGCACTGAAGGACAGCAAGAGGCACTCTGTCTTCACTTGAATTTCCTAGAACAGAAGCACTGTTTTTAAAAAAAAAAAAAAAAAAAAGAAGAAAGAAAGAAAAAAAAAAAAAAAAGAAAGTGCCTTTTGGTACATGTATCAGATTCCCTCAAACTCAGGAGTGTCTAAAGCAGACAGACCGTCCCCACCTTCCCATCCCGAGCGGCCTCCAACCCCAGCTAGTCCCAGCTCTGAAGGCATCATTCAGAAATGGGGGAGACTGTGTCTGTCTTTCTTACTTTTTTTTTGGTCTTTTATTAAGAAAAAGAAAGTGGGTGACTTGTTTGAAAACAGAGTGGGGTTCAAATCCCAGCAGCCTTTGCTGTACACAGCTGGGGGTCTCTTGAGCCTCTTGGGAGTCAAGGCCAGCTGGGAGGCTTAGCCCTTCAGCCCCAGCAGAAGGCCCTGGGGCTGGTGGGGCTCAGAATACCCCTACCTTGTGGCTGCTCCCCACCCCCTCCCGGATGCTGTGAGGAGCTCAGGCAGGGGCCTGGAGGGGAACAGGGGTCATCCTGAAGGGGCTCCACCCCCAGTCAACCCAGGCCTCCCTCAGGGACACCTGTCACCCTGAGTGCCACCAGGTCCCCTCTGCCTTTGGTCCAGAAGAGTGAGTTGTCCAAACCAGCCAGCATCTGGCTCCAGCCCTCCAACCCTGGCGACCAGACCCCATGGGGTGCCATCAACGGCCCCGCGACAGGCATCAATTCAAACCCCAGGACACTCTCGACAGCTCCAACCATCCGGAGGGCTGTGCAGATGGCAGGAACCAAGGACCCTCCCTGGCAGCTGAAGAGGGCAGTTACGGTTGGGCGTGGTGACCAGAACACACCCAGCAGCCTGCGAAGCCTCCCCGTCCCCAGCCTGTGCTCCTGATTCCCGCCAGACGCTTGTGAGCCTGTGTGGGTGGCAGGAGGCCCCGTCTTGCCGTGCCTACCTGTCGCACAGGTGCCTCTGCACGCTGCAGACGGTGCCTCTCCTCTCCTATGGACCCTCGTCGGGGGCAGGCAGCGGCCGGGTCCAAACTTGCTGCTGTCCTCGAGGCTGGCACTGCTATCTCCAGGGCTGGGTTGACTCAAGCCAGACAGGGGGAAGGAATTGGTTCTGCAGGACAGTGAGAGGGTCTGTGTCCCGGCACCCCTGGGACAGCGCTCGGCTGCCTGTGCTCACTGCATGAGAAAACTCAGAGGGTGCATTCTCCCTCTGGCATGGCTGTGTCTGGGCGCCTTGGGCTGCGGCAGGGGGCAGGCCCCACGTGGGGAAGCCTCGTGCTTGGTCAGCTTTCTGTCTCTCCCAGGCCAGTGACAACTGGCTTCCCGAGGAAGGAGGTGAGGTACCAGGGACCCTGGGCAGGACCTGGTGTCGGGCAGGGCGGTGCCAGCACTGGGGAAGGACAGGGAGCCCTCCCGGAGCCCCACCCTGCACCTGCCACTGGGGTCAGGGAGTGTCTCGGGGTGCCTTTGGGGGCAGCATGAGCTCCACCAGGGGCCCCGGCCCCCACCTCAGCCTATGGCCCTTCCCCATGGCTAAGGTCATGCCTTTTCTGAACAGCTTTGGCCTTGAGTGCACACATCTGTGCCAGGCTCACGGCATGTTCCCGTTGGATGTCAGGGTCCTTGTCCAAACCAAACTCACAGCTGCCCCTGTGCAGCCTTCAGAGTTGAGCTGGGGTCTCAGTCTCCAACCTGTCCTTTCTGACCCTCCCATGGCTGCCCAGGGAGGGCGGGGTTCACTGTGCCACGTGCTGGGTGCCCCCCTCTGCAGACAGCCAGTCCAGGAGATGGACCAACAGAGGTCAAGGGGCAGCTGGCCAGGCCGCACCGGGGTCCCCGAGTTCTGAGCTGTGCTATGCAAACAAGAATGCTCCTGTGTGGGGGGGCATGGCCGTTGGAGGTATAGCTGGGCGGGTAGTGGAAGGACTGGAAATCTCTGTTGTTGTTTGGGGAAGTCCATGCTTCAGTCCTTCGGAGTATGCGTGGATTGTTCGAAGTGTGACTATGGCCCGGGAGCCAGGGCAGCATGAACTCCTTTCTCTGAAATTTCGAGGCCTCCTTGGGTTCCCTGAACTCCGGGCTGATGTTCCCAGGACCCAGCACCAGGAGACCCCAGTCCCGCCAGCAGCCGCCGCTACCCAGGAGGGCTGGGCGACATTGGCCGCCTCCCACTAGCTCCCCCTCCTCGCCCACAGCCTCTTGTCACTGCCAAGCCCCCGTTCCTTTTGCCCAAATCACGCAGGCGGAAGCTGCAGTGCCAGCTGGAGGGATGTTCATAGGGCTTCCTGTGCCCATCCCTGCTCCAAACAGCTGGACAGCTTCCCCTCTACCCCCACCCTGGTGAGCCCCTGGGGGCCAGAGAAAGATGGGGTTCCTGCACCTTCCCAGCTCCACCTCTGAACTTGAGTTAGCGTTAGCTAAGCATACAATCAGTGTCGAACGTCTCTCTTCCTTAAGCTTGTAGATACGACTGCCTATAATCAGGGGACTCCCACTGGAGGCCGGGAGGCCAATGCTGGCCAGGTGCGAGGGCATGGTTTGGTTCCTTTAGGGAATTTTTGTTTTGCAAACAGGAGAAACCTGTGCTGCAGGTTGGAGTGGCAGGAACGACTGGCCTTGGTCAGCAGGCAGCCCCCAGCCTAGGGCCACAGTCCTCTTCAGGGCCTGGGCAGCCCCAATTTCTGGCCCAGCAGGTTTCTCTTTGTAGTGTCTTTCAGCACATCCAAAATGCTAGGCCTCCTGCCACCAACGTGTCAGAGCAATGTCCAACTGTCAGGCTCTCAGAGATGCCTCAGTTTCCCTAGCATGAGCACCAGCCGACACACACAGTCCACTGAGATGATAATTCTGTTCTCTCCAAAGCAAAAAGCTGGGCGAGGGGTAGTCTCAATTTCTGTCAGTGCTCAAAGGAATAACACCAAAAGAATCAACACAGAATCTCCCAGACACACGTGACCCAGCTCGTGGCGCCGTGGGTCCGTAGGAGGGACAGTACCTCACAACAGGCCCAGCGGGGGACCACCTCTCTGTACAATTGGAATGCGTTTTACTTTTCTTTTCTCTCCTTTTTTCATTCCGATTTTTTTTGCATGTTTCTTTTTGAAATGGGCAAAATGTGTAGCAGCCTGCATGAGCACAGTTGTTTTGGGGAAAGATACTGGAGTATGATGTACTCACACCTGCAAATCTGAGCATCGCGAGGTTAAACGTTCCACCTTTTTTTGTAATCGTCAACAGCACAACTATTTTGTATTGTTGTTTGTATCATTTTGTACCAAAAAAAAAAAGGAAAAAAAAAGGGAAGAGAGTTGATGTTTTCAGTGTGTTTCCAGTGCCAGACAGTCTTGGTCCTGAACTCAGTAGACCCTTGCGGAGCGGTTGTGCGCGGGCAGGCGGGGCGCGCTGCTCCAGAGAATGAATAAAGTCCCCCTTTTCCGTAGTCGGCATCGTCCTGGCTTGATTTTCTTCCAAGCATTCGAGAAACAGATGGTGCTCCGGGACAGCAGGTGGGTGCACACGGGGGAGGTGGCGGCCACCATGAGCTCCATGCATGCTGAACACACTTCTTGAACACCTGTGCAGCTCGAGGCGCTGTCCTAGGCTGCGGGAAAACAGAAAGAACAAAGCCAGGCCCGCTCCTCACACCTGTGGGCCCACATGCCATCTGTCTCAATGTTTTAAAGGGTTTAGAAGGTATCCATGAAACTAACAAGCAAAATCACATTCCCCTCCTACCTTGGCATATACACCTCCCGGACTCCATGGAATGCCCGGGCCAATTTGGAATTCTCAGACTCCTTGGAGTGTGGTGCCAAAAGTGGCAGCAAGGAAGGAGCTGGCCTGGGCCTGTGGCTCTTCCCACCTCCGTCTCTTCCCACCTCCGGCTTTGCCCAGTGCCCCAGGGGGCCTGCGTGTAGGCATTTGGATGCCCCAGGCTTCACCTAAGCCCCCAACAAACAGTATCCCTTGGGCCTCGGGACAGGTCCACCTGGTGAAAATGCAGGAGAGGCCTAAGCAGACCAGAGAGGGGGCTCAAGGCACTTTGTGAGGAGTTTCAGGGTCCTGGTGCCCAGAGGTGTCTGGAGGGGCGAGCACATGGCCCCCAGCCCTGTAGACTCCTCCCCCTGTGGTGGGGGCACAGTCAAATGGGCTGAAGTGCCAGCAAGCGGACACGTGCACACATGTATATGCTTGCATACACATGAGCACACAGGCATACCCACGTGTATATGCACATGCATGCAATGCACGTGTGCACACACACACATTCGTTCACATACTTGCAAACATAGGCAGCACATGCACTGAGACAGGCCTCTGGCCACCGACATGTTTGGATGCAAACCCTCCGCAGCCACAGCCGACATCAGCAGATAAAACCACCAAGCCCCGGAGCCCCACTCACGGATGCCAGGTGTTGCATGCATCACTCCCTCCCCACTTCATTTCCCCAGTCTCAGGTGGAGGCTCTCCTGCAGTGGTGACACCAGCTGGGCCTCTGAAGGTGCCTCTCCCACCCTCTGCCCTCCGTGCCTCCTGTCCTCTCCACGCTTCCTGCTTCCCTCTTTCCTGTCACTGCCTTATCCTAGGCGGGGGGCATGAGGCGGCTCAAGTCCCTGGGCCGGGCCTCCTGGGATGGCCAGGCAGGAGGCTGGTCACCACTGCAGCCAGAGGTGCCCTGCTGGAGGCCTGGGTGCCAGGGGACGGTGGCACACCATCTCAGTGGCCCCTCAGGGTCGGCACAGGCCATGCAGCAGTGCTGTACCCCTCAGTGGGGCTCACCTTGGCAGTGAGCTGGGCCTTCTGCAGGCACGTGGTCCAGCATTCCCCAGGCCCTTCCAGCTGAGGCCATCACCGCTGGTCCCCAAAGGGCAGCTCTGGGGGCCATGTTCAGGCCTAGTCCTCTGTAGGGGAGGGGACGTGAGCTCTGGAGGCTTCCCCAGCGCAATGCCCTGTGGACCAGGCTCCTACACAGAGGCTCACGGGCACTCCATGCCCATCCACCGTGCCCAGGGAGCCCCCTCGGATGGAGAGGACAGGCACAGACAATGCCACCTTTCCCAAGGCCTTACTCTGGGTCCCACAGAACCGGCCGTGGAAAGGCTATGGTCACCCCCACTTTACAGATGAGGAAACTGAGGCTCAGAGAGGGGCAGTCGCCCACTGCAAGCGGGGTTTGAACTCAGGCCTCCCTGTGTCCCTGGGGGCCTCCCAGGACACAGAACCAGCAGAATAGCCCAGGCATCTCCCTCACCCCACAGAGCTCTGGCCTCAAAGTCACTGGGGGGCTCCTTAGAGACATAGACTTGACTGCCCCAGCTCTCCGACGCCTGAAGCCAGGCCCAGCCCAGCCCACCCTCCTCAGCAGGGAAGATGCTCTGCGAAGCCCTCCACTGCCTCCCCTGTAAAAACAAGGGTGGTGCTGGGGGTTGGGGGTGACACTCAGCATAACCCTGTACCAGGCACGGGACCCTGCAACAAACATGTCCCCTCCTCAGTTCTGCCTCCATATGGTGGGGGGAGGGGCTCCAGACAGGTCAACACATGGGGGAGGGCCAGGAAGGGTGACCAAAGCTGCTGGCGACCAAAGCTGCTGGCAGGGACGGCCTGGGAGAGGCGATGGAGACAGGGGGCTGGAGGAGCAAGGGCTGAGGTACGGGGGAAGAGACCCAGATACCGGACAGGCTTCTGGTCTGGCACGCAGCCACCATGAGTCCCCTCTCCCCTAGGAGAGGGGACCTCAGGTGCCTCCCTCTGGGCAGCCCAGCTCAGGAGCATCCAAGGTCAGGGGAGCAGTCCCGCTCCGTCTCACCAGCAATGAGGAGCACTGCGACTGTCTGCACCATGGCCGCCCCTTCTCACCGACCACGAGGAGCACTACGACCGTCTGCACCGTGGCCGCCCCCTCTCACCGACGACGAGGAGCACTGCGACCGTCTGCACCGTGGCCGCCCCCTCTCACCGACCACGAGGAGCACTGCGACCGTCTGCACCGTGGCCGCCCCCTCTCACCGACCACGAGGAGCACTGCGACCGTCTGCACCGTGGCCGCCCCCTCTCACCGACCACGAGGAGCACTGCGACCGTCGGCACCGTGGCCGCCCCCTCTCACCGACGACGAGGAGCACTGCGACCGTCGGCACCGTGGCCGCCCCCTCTCACCGACGACGAGGAGCACTGCGACCGTCTGCACCGTGGCCGCCCCCTCTCACCGACGACGAGGAGCACTGCGACCGTCTGCACCGTGGCCGCCCCCTCTCACCGACGACGAGGAGCACTGCGACCGTCTGCACCGTGGCCGCCCCCTCTCACCGACGACGAGGAGCACTGCGACCGTCTGCACCGTGGCCGCCCCCTCTCACCGACGACGAGGAGCACTGCGACCGTCTGCACCGTGGCCGCCCCCTCTCACCGACGACGAGGAGCACTGCGACCGTCTGCACCGTGGCCGCCCCTTCTCACCGACGATGAGTAGCACTGCGACTGTCTGGATCGTGGGAGCCCCTTCTCACCGACGACGAGGAGCACTGCGACTGTCTGCACCGTGGCCGCCCCTTCTCACTGACGACGAGGAGCACTGCGACTGTCTGCACCGTGGCCGCCCCTTCTCACCGACGATGAGGAGCACTGCGACTGTCTGCACCATGGCCACCCCTTCTCCCCAACAATGAGGAACATTGTGACTGTCTGCACCGTGGCCGCCCCTTCTCACCAACGCTGAGGAGCACTGAGACCGTCTGCACCGTGGCCGCCCCTTCTCACCGACGACGAGGAGCACTGCGACCGTCTGCACCATGGCTGCCCCTTCTCACCGACGATGAGGAGCACTGCGACTGTCTGGATCGTGGGAGCCCCTTCTCACCGACGACGAGGAGCACTGCGACTGTCTGCACCGTGGCCGCCCCGACTGATGATGAGGAACATTGCGACCGTCTGCACCGTGGCCGCCCCTTCTCACTGATGCTGAGGAGCACTACGACCGTCTGCACCATGGCCGCCCCTTCTCACCGATGAGGAGCACTGCGACTGTCTGCACCGTGGCCGCCCCTTCTCACCAACGACGAGGAGCACTGCGACCGTCTGCACCGTGGCCGCCCCTTCTCACCGATGAGGAGCACTGCGACTGTCTGCACTGTGGCCGCCCCTTCTCACCAACGATGAGGAGCACTGCGACTGTCTGCACCGTGGCCGCCCCTTCTCACCAACGATGAGGAGCACTGCGACTGTCTGCACCGTGGCCGCCCCTTCTCACCAACGACGAGGAGCATCGCGGCTGTCTGCACCATGGCCGCCCCTTCTCCCCAACGATGAGGAACATTGTGACTGTCTGCACCGTGGCCGCCCCTTCTCACCAACGATGAGGAGCATTCAGACTGTCTGCACCATGGCCGCCCCTTCTCACCAACGATGAGGAGCACTGGGACTGTCTGCACCGTGGCCGCCCCTTCTCACCAACGACGAGGAGCATCGCGGCTGTCTGCACCATGGCCGCCCCTTCTCCCCAACGATGAGGAGCATTGTGACTGACTGCACCGTGGCCGCCCCTTCTCACCGATGCTGAGGAGCACTGCGACTGTCTGCACCGTGGCCGCCCCTTCTCACCAACGATGAGGAGCATTCAGACTGTCTGCACCATGGCCGCCCCTTCTCCCCAACGATGAGGAGCACTGGGACTGTCTGCACCGTGGCCGCCCCTTCTCACCAACGACGAGGAGCATCGCGGCTGTCTGCACCATGGCCGCCCCTTCTCCCCAACGATGAGGAACATTGTGACTGTCTGCACCGTGGCCGCCCCTTCTCACCAACGATGAGGAGCATTCAGACTGTCTGCACCATGGCCGCCCCTTCTCCCCAACGATGAGGAGCACTGGGACTGTCTGCACCGTGGCCGCCCCTTCTCACCAACGACGAGGAGCATCGCGGCTGTCTGCACCATGGCCGCCCCTTCTCCCCAACGATGAGGAACATTGTGACTGTCTGCACCGTGGCCGCCCCTTCTCACCAACGATGAGGAGCATTCAGACTGTCTGCACCATGGCCGCCCCTTCTCACCAACGATGAGGAGCACTGGGACTGTCTGCACCGTGGCCGCCCCTTCTCACCAACGACGAGGAGCATCGCGGCTGTCTGCACCATGGCCGCCCCTTCTCCCCAACGATGAGGAGCATTGTGACTGTCTGCACCGTGGCCGCCCCTTCTCACCAACGATGAGGAGCATTCAGACTGTCTGCACCATGGCCGCCCCTTCTCCCCAACGATGAGGAGCACTGGGACTGTCTGCACCGTGGCCGCCCCTTCTCACCAACGACGAGGAGCATCGCGGCTGTCTGCACCATGGCCGCCCCTTCTCCCCAACGATGAGGAGCATTGTGACTGTCTGCACCATGGCCGCCCCTTCTCACCAACGATGAGGAGCATTGTGACTGTCTGCACCGTGGCCGCCCCTTCTCACCAACGATGAGGAGCACTGCGACTGTCTGCACCATGGCCGCCCCTTCTCCCCAACGATGAGGAACATTGTGACTGTCTGCACCGTGGCCGCCCCTTCTCACCGATGCTGAGGAGCACTGCGACTGTCTGCACCGTGGCCGCCCCTTCTCACCAACGACGAAGAGCATCGCGGCTGTCTGCACCATGGCCGCCCCTTCTCCCCAACGATGAGGAACATTGTGACTGTCTGCACCGTGGCCGCCCCTTCTCATCAACGATGAGGAGCATCGCGGCTGTCTGCACCATGGGAGCCCCTTCTCACTGACAATGAGGAGCATTCAGAGTGTCTACACCGTGGCCACGCCTTCTCACCAATGCTGAGGAGCACTGATACTGTCTGCACCGTGGCCGCCCCTTCTCACCGACGACGAGGAGCACTGCGACTGTCTGTACTGGCCTCCCTGTCTCACTGACGATGAGGAGCACTGTGACTCTCTGCACCGTGGGAGCTGAGGGTTTGGGTTCCAGGACTGAGAAGCATGGGGGACCCTTGCTCAGCGGCTGCCCAGGGCCCTGATGACCACCTCCTGAAAGACAGCACCTGCCCAGCCTCCAGAAGCTCTGGGGTATTAACTACCCATTAACTACACTAACCAGGTGGGAAGGTAGTCCACTAACTACACTAACCAGCCCAGAAAAACAACCTATTAACTATACTAACTACCCTGGAAACCAGCCCTAATCAACACTAAGCCAGTGGGAAACTAGTCCATTAACTATACTAACCAGCCCAGGAAAACAACCCATTAAGTACACTAATCAGCCCATTATCAACCAGCCCATTATCAACACTAACTATGTGAGAAGCTAGTCCATTAACTACACTAACCAGCCCAGAAAAGCAAGCCATTAACTACACTAACCGGGTGGGAACTAGTCCATTAACTACACTAACCAGCCCAGGAAGCCGGCCTATTATCCATACTAACCAGCCCAGGAGGCCAACTCACTATGTCCAGTAACCAGCTGTCTCATGTGTGGTGCTGTAACCACCTATTGCCGGGACTGGGTACTTGATCACGATGGACGGGAACATGGGTCAGGTCTGGTGGCCGGGAGTCCGGGATCCAGGCACCACAGGGTTGGTGCTGGGTGAGGGCCTGCCCCACACAGATGGTGCCATCCAGGTGTCCTCACATGGTGGAAGGTGAGGGGCAGAAAGGCCCAGCTCTCTACCTCCTGCCCTTTGATAAGATGCCATCCTGGTCCCAGGGGCTCCCACCTCGTGCATGACATTGGTGCTCTGATAAAAGAGGCTCCCCCTTCGCCTTCTGCTCTTGTCCATGTGAGAACACAGCACCCGCGTCCCTGGAGGACGCAGCAACAGGACACCTCCAGGACGCAGAGAGCACTGTATCAGGAGGCTGTGGTACTGGGTGGGGGAAGGGTCCCTCCAGAGCATATTGAGTTTGGACGTGAACTTGAGCTGCATTCCCAACTCTAGGGGAACGCTGAGTCTCCCAACACACCTGAGACAAAGTCCACAGTCCTGGGCCTGACCTCGGAGGCCCTCAGTGGTCAGGACCCGCCTTCCCTGTGGGCCTCTGGAGGGCACAAGCATCAGCTCCCAGCGCCTGCCTGGCTATGATGAAGGGGACCCAGCCGGGACAGCCTCCATCCCAAACCAGCCAGGCCCCATGTAGGGTCAGTGCAGCGGTGTCTGTGCATTGAGAGACTGCCCGTGTGTGGCTGGGCCAGGCCACTCACTGCCCATCACTGCAGACAACTATCCAGGACCCCCCAGGCTGCCCCAATACCCCAGTTGCCCAGGCTGAGCCTCCCAGCCATCCCACCCATCTGCACCCGCTCTGGCACACGGCTGTAAGGTGGGTCTGCCATGGGCGCCGCCCAGGAAGGACATTCTCCTGCCAAGTCCCAGCCAAGCTGGGGGTCGTGGGCTCACAGCCCCATGATCTGCCCCCCTGCTCTGCCTGCCTCTCACAAGCCAATGTGCCCCTCTGATCACCTTGGCGCCCTGGCCTCGCCTCCCCACTATAGAATCCCAGCCCTCCAGGCCATGAGTCCAGGCACAAACGGGTTCTCCCACACCAGACTCTGGGTCCTCAAAGCTCTACGACTGGCCCAGTCCCCTGACCCCACCTGCCCTGAGAGCCTGAGTCCACACTGGTAGTGGCTCAAGAGTGGAGCCCCTGCACAGTGTCAGTGCCAGCCACCCTGGACCTGTGGAGGCTGAGCTCAAAGGCTGAGGAAACTGAGCTCGAAGAAGCAGGCAGCCCTCCGGCCCCTGCTGGGCAGCAGCAGTCTGACCTGAGCCCCACGCTGGTGCCCAACCCAGCAGCCTCCACCTCCGCCTCAGGAGCCAGTCAGTCCCAGCTCCCCGAAGGGCAGGCCACAGGGCTGGGCCCAGTGGTGACCCCTTCCCTCCCCCAGCCCTGGGCCCTCCCTCCCACCCTCTCCCCTTCCCCAGCCCTGCAACCGCCCCTCCACAGCCCTGGGCCCTCCCTCCCACACTCTCCCCTTCCACAGCCCTGGGCCCCTCCTTCCCACCCTCCCTCCCACCAGCCCTGGGCCTCCCCCTACCGTCCTCTCCCCTCCCCTAGCCCTGGGCACCTCCCTCCCACCCTCTCCCCTTCCCCAGCCCTGGCCCCTCTGTCCCATTCTCTCACCTCCCTTAGCCCTGGGACTCCCTCCCAGCCCTGGGCCCCTCTTCCCACCCTCTCCCCTCCCCCAGCCCTGGGCCCCCTCCCACCCTCTCCCCTCCCCCAGCCCTGGGCACCCCCCCACCTTCCTTTTCCTGGGGCACAATTCACATGTACACTGACTTGCATAACAAAAAACCACTCACACGGTTAATCATGGGTGCAGTTGATAATTACAGGCACAATTAACCACTTGCTAATTTTGAGGGTGCGAGCAGTTAATTACATTCACAATTAGGCAACTGCTGTAGGCCTGGGACCGGAGTCCTGGTGGGGGGACACTCCTTGTAATCAGACTCCCAGGGTGAGGCCCTGTGGTGGGGGTGAGGGTCAGGTGATCTGCGAAGCACCCCCCTCCCAGCTTCAAGTGGGGAGCTTACAGGCCTAGAGGTCAGGGCCTGGCAAACGACCTGAAAAATCCAGCTTGAGGCCCTTTCCAGGGAGCCCCAGAGGCCTTCTCTTGGGTCATTTCCCAGGATGGGGGTCGCTGTCACTCCTCTGTCCCAGGAGGATTCAGAGAGGTCAGTTCACAGGCCTATGCTGGGCAGAGCCACTCATCCACGGCACTGGCCACTCAGCCAGGTATTGACAGACCCACCCGCAGGGCAGACAAAAGAGGCATGGCCCAGCCAGCTGCGGGACCCTGCACCCCCCACTCACTCACACATGTGCACATGCACACACATGCACACGTGCAAACACACACACACACACACACACACAGCCCTCCTCGGCTCACAGGGGGCTGCAGGACGCTGTCCAAGGTACTGACCTCCCTGCTGCTGGGCCCCTCGCTGCTGAGCCAGGCAGGGGAAGTCAGCTGGGCCAACTGGGAGGGTCGGGCAGGGACAGCACCTGAAATCCCTGCTCAGCCCCCTGTGCCGTTCCTGCCCCTGAGACCACGGCCAGCCACCCAAGGGCTACCCCTCAGCAGCCTGAGGACACAGCGCCGGCTCTTCATCTCAAGCACACGGAGGTGCAAGAGGGAGGGTCTGCGGCCTCGGCAGAGACAGCCGGATGCACTGAGACCCTGGCCTGGGGCAGGCAGGGGCTCCCTCAGGGGGCTCAGAAGGGGTCAATGCTGCAGACCACAGGCCGGCCCAGCCTCAGGCACGGTCCACCTGGCACAGCACACTTCACAGTGTTGAATATACTGTTGTATTTGTTTCCTGAGGTAACAAAGTCCCACAAACTCGGTGGCTTAAAAGAAAGACATTTATGCTCTCCCAGTCCTGGAGGCCAAAAGTCTGAGATCAGTATCCCTGGGCCGAAATCAAGGGGTCGGCAAGGCTGAGCTCCCTCCGGGGAATTAGGGGACGAGCCCTCACTGCCTCTTCCAGCCTCCAGTTCCTTGGCTCACGCCCACATCACTCCCGTCTCCACCTCCATCTTCACTTCATCTTAGTGTAACCTCCCTCCATCTCCCTCTTACATATGGACACTTCCCATTGGATTTCGGGCCTATGACTAGTCCTGAAAGATCTCATCTTGAGACCTTCAACTTGATCATATCTGCAGAGACTCTATTTCCAAATAAGGTCACCTTCACGGGCTGTTTTTCTTTTAGGGCGGTGGGGGTGGGGGGGGATTTTTCAGCTGACCACAATTGTCAACATTAAAAAATCAAGATACTGTAGGGGTCCCACCTAGATATTGAGGAGGTGGACAACAGGAGGACTGGGTCTCTCCTTCATCCCTCAGCTGCCAGGATGGAGGGTTTGGGGGGGGTCATTTCTTACACAGCTCCCAGTAGGAGATGCTGTGTAGCCTTGGGAGTGTCACTTAGCTACCTCTGGGCTTCCTTGTCTGTTGCTGGGACCGTGTATCAGCTAGTTGCTGAGTAACAAACACAAACACGATCTCAGCAGCACAGAGTCAGCATTTGGTTGGCTGGTCCAGGCCAGGCCGCTGGGGCAGCTGAGCTCTGCCCCCCACTCCCTCATCCTCCCCCTGACCAGCAGGCTAGCCACCCTCACTGATGGCAGCAACACAGGACAGCAGCCTGGTCACCGCAGCTCTCAGTTCAGAGCACCACATGCCCCGTGAACATCCCCTCAGTCAAAGCAAGTCACATGGCTGAACCCACAGTCAAGGGGCAGGGAATTAGACTCCACCCCCTTAGTGGGGGAGCTTCAGAGGCACAGGGCAAGCGTGGTTGGCAGGGGTGAAGGATGGGGCCAGTGATGCCAGGGGCCCACAGGGGTGCATGGGGGTCAGAACCCATCATTCACTCCCCAAGCACAAGCCCAGGGCCAGCTGGCCCACAGGTCCCCCTGGTGCCCAGCATCCCCCCGTCCCCCTCCCATGGGGTGGGGCTCGCATCCAATGCCTGGTTCCAAGTGTCCTCCTCATCTTACCTGCATGGTGACCATCCAGGACGCTCTCCCTGAGCCCGCTGCTTACTGAGTGCCACGGAGGCCTGCAGGGGGAGTGGGCACACACAGGAGAGACGCATGATTTGCAATCTCGTTAATGAGCCGTAGCACAATCACAGACCTGCCCTGACAAGGAGCTGCACTCGTGGTAACATAAAACTGTCAGCCAGCTGGGCGCGGTGGTTCACGCCTGTAATCCCAGTACTTTGGGAGGCTGAGGCGGGAGGATCACCCGAGGTCAGGAGTTTGAGACTGGCCTGGCCATCGTGGCGAAACCCCGTCTCTACTAAAAATACAAAAATCAGCCAGGTGGTGGTGCATGCCTGTAATACCAGGTACTCAGGAGGCTGAGGCAGGAGAATTGCTTGAACCCAGGAGGCAGAGTTTGCAGCAAGTCAAGATCATGCCACTGCACTCCAGCCTGGTGACAGAGCGAGACTCTGTCTCAAAAAAAACAAATTTTTTTAATAAAAAAAAAACCTGTCAGCCAACGAAGCTCATTACAAGCTGCTCCTCAGACTTCCTGTCAGCTGGGACTGCATCCGCCTGTTCAGCCCTTCCAGGCCTGGAGCTGGAGCCCAGGAGGGAGGCCAAGGGGTCCCACTGCAGCTGGGGTGCTGACTGTTAGCTACCAGCCCTTCCGTGGGCCTGTCAGGTTCAGTCTCGGATGCTGTGGGGCCCTGGGACCCCTCATGGGAAGCTGACTTGGACCGTTCAAGAGCCCTATCTAGCCCTCAGCAGGACAAGATCCTCTCAGCAACATCCCCAACACACACTCAACCAGACAGCCTGCAAAGAGCCAGTTCTGTATTTGGACAGCTCGGCTCCCCATGGTACCCTTGTACTCCATGGTAAACCAAAACAAGCTTCTTTGTAACTTCCACCTACTAAAACCATTCCATTACCACCAACTAAGACGGATTCTCCACCTGCCCATCCCAAACCTACCCCCAGGTGTCCCGTGTCTCCTTGTCTCCTGCATCTGCTGCCCACGTGCAGGCTGAGTGTGAAATAACAAAGGACATCCTCCTGGTGGCGCGGGGCAGAGAGCCAACTCACAGAGGGGAGGACATCCACGCTGGCCACGAGCCAGCTCCCCACAATGACCAGCCCAGCCACCCCGATGGTGGGGGAGAATGGGTCCTCCCTCTGCGATCTGAGAGTTCCACTCAGTAGCCCTCAAACCCTACTCCACACACACCTGTTCGCCCTGAATCTAATGTGCTCACTTTGAGCTATCTTCCTGTATGCCTTTTCCCAGGCTGATACCCTCTTTTCTTTGCTTTTGCAAACTAGCTGAATTTCTTAGCCAGAGCCATCAGGCAAGAGAAAGAAATAAAGGACATTCAAATTGGAAAAGAGGAATTCAAACTACCTGTTTGCCAATGGTATGATCTTATACCTAGAAAGCCCTAAAGACTCCTCCAAAAGACTCCTAGATTCGATAAATGAATTCAGTAAAGCCTCAGGTCACAACATCAATGTAGCACTGCTATACACCAACGATGACCAAGCTGAGAATCAAATCAAGAACTCAATCCCTTTTACAATAGCTGCAAAAAAATAAAATACCTAGGAATATATGTACCCAAGGGGGTGAAAGATCTCTACAAGGAGAACTACAAACACTGCTGAAGGAAATCACAGATGACACAAATGGAAATATATCCCATGCTCACTTATTGGAAGAATCAATATTGTGAAAATGACCAAACTGCCCAAAGCAATCTACAGATTCAGTGCAATTCCTATCAAAATACCAACATTCCTTTTTCACAGAATTAGAAAAACAATGCTAAAATTCATTTGGAACCAAAAAAGAGCCTCAATAGGCAAAGCAATCTTAAGCAAAAAGAACAAATCTGGAGGCATCACATTACCTGACTTCCAACTATACTACAGGGCTATAGTTACCAAACAGCATGATACTGGTGCAAAAGTAGATAACAGACCAATAGAACAGAATAGAGAATGAAGAAATAAAGCCAAATCCTTACGACCAACTGATCTTTGATAAAGCAAACAAAACCGTATTCAATAGATGCTAGGAAAAACTGGTGAGCCACGTGTAGAAGAATGAAACTGGATACCTATCTTTCAGCATATACAAAAATCAACTCAAATGAATTAAAGACTTTAATCTAAGATCTGAAACCATAAAAATTCTAGAAGAAAACCTAGGCAAAACTCTTCTGGACATCAGCCTTGGCAAAGAATTTATGACCAAGACCCCAAAAGCAAATGCAACAAAACCAAATATAAATAAGTGGGACCTAATTAAACTAAAAACCTTCTGCACTGCAAAAGAAAGAATCATTAGAGTAAACAGAACACCCGCAGAATGGGAGAAAATGTTTGCAAACTATGCATTTGATAAAGAACTAATAATCAGAATCTGCAAGGAACTCAAATCAGCAAGAAAAGAAAAACAATCTCATTAAAAAGTGGGCAAATGACACGAATAGACATTTCTCAAAAGAAGATAAACAAATGGCCAAGAAACACATGAAAAATGCTTGACATCACTAATCATTAGGGAAATGCAAATTAAAACCACAATGAGATACCACCTTATCCCAGCCAGAATGGCCATTATTAATGTTGTGGTAAACTGAGGAACGGAGAGACCACTATGGAGTACAGGAGGATTGTTGTTTATTTTAGGTACGTACCGGCTCAGAGGACTCACATCCAAAAAGCTGAGCATTGAACAAAGACTGAGCAGGGTTTTTATAAGCGGACTTACAAGAGTAAAACAAAGCAGTTAATCGTACAGTGACAGGTCACGTAATCTATAGCGTAACTGTTGACTTAGCATAACTTGTGGCCTTGCATAGCTAGTGACCTCACAGCTGTGTCAAAAGAAAAACAAGAACTAGCTAAATACAGACATTTGTAAAACATAATCATGCTTAAGAAGCCTGGGAAAGGAGTAACAGTAAAAGAATTTGTCTTTCTTTTTTCCCTCAACCTTGCTCTGGAGTGGGGGTGTCTGGAGCCCATTCCTTTGGCGGTGGCTACTCAAACAGTGTTATCTTATAACTGTCCTTGAAGTGAGCCTGCTGCACTTTCCCCTGCTAGGCAGAGGAAAACTTGTTCTTTTCTTTTTAACCTTTGCCTTGCCTGTTACTTTTCTTAGAGTGAATGAATGCATATTTATTTTTAAATTTCTGCCTCACTAAAAAGTCAAAAAACAATAGATGTTGGTGTGGAGGTGGTGAAAGGGAATGCTTACACACTGCTGGCAGGAATGTAAACTAATACAACCTCTATAGAAAACAGTATGGAGATTTCTCAAAGAACTAAAAGTAGATTAGCCATTCGACCCAGCAATCCCTCTACTGGGCATCCACCCAAAGGAAAGGAAGTCATTACCTCAAAAAGACACCTGCACATGTGTGTTTATCACAGCACAATTCACAACTGCAAAGACATGGAACCAACCCAAGTGCCTATCAGCTGATGAGCAGATAAAGAAAGTGTGAGATAGATTTAGATAGATAGATAGATAGATAGATAGATAGATAGATAGAGAGATAGATAGATGGATGGATGGACGGACGGATGGTCGGACAGACATAATGAAATACACACATATATATGTCATGAAATACAACTCAGTCATAAAAAGAATGAAATAATGCATTTTGTAGCAACTTGGATGGAACTGCAGACCATTATTCTAAGTGATGCAACTCAGGAATAGAAAACCAAATACTGTATGTTCTCACTTATAAGCGGGAGCTAAGCTGTGGGTACACAAAGGCATGCAGAGTGGTATAATGAACACTGGAGAATCAAAGAGGAGGAGGGAGGGATGGGGATGAGGGACAAAAAACTACCTATTGGGAGGCCGGGTGTGATGGCTCACCCCTGTAATCCAAGCACTTTGGGAGGCTGAGGCAGGCGGATCACCTGAGGTCAGGAGTTGAAGACAAGCCTGACCAACATGGAGAAACCCATCTCTACTAAAAATACAAAATTAGCCGGGTGTGGTGGCGCACGCCTGTAATCCCAGCTGCTCAGTAGGCTGAAGCGGGAGAATCACTTGAACCTGGGAGGCAGAGGTTGCGGTGAGCCAAGATCATGCCATTGCACTCCAGCCTGGGCAACAAGAGCGAATCTCTGTCTCAAAAAAAAAAAAAAAAAAACTACCTATTGGGTACAATGTACACTACTCAGGTGATGGGTGCACTAAAATCTCAGACTTCACCACTACACAATTCATCCATGGAACCAAAAACCACCTGTGCAAAGCTATTGAAATAAAATAAAAACTAGAGCTGGGCACAGTGGCTCACACCTGTAACCTCAGCACTTTGGGAGGCCAAGGCGGGGGATCGCTTGAGCCTAGCAGTTCAAGACCAGCCTGGGAAACATAGCAAGACCCCATCTCTACTAAAAAAAAAATTGTTTAAAATATCCTAGTGTAGTGACGTGCGTCTGTGGTCCCAGCTACTTGGGAAGTTGAGGCATGCAGATCACTTGAGCCCAGGAGGCCAAGGTTGCTGTGAGCTGTGATCACACATCTGCACTCCAGCCTGGATGACAGAGCAAGACCCCGTCTCAGAAAACAACAACAAAACTCTCTGAGGTATAATTTACATACAACAAAATTCACCAATTTTAAATATAATTTGATGAGTTCTGACAAATGTACACAGTTGTGTAACCACCAGCACGATGACTACGTGGAACATTCCCATCACACCAAAACTAGTTGTGTAACCACCAGCACGATGATTACGTGGAACATTCCCATCACACCAAAACTTTCCCTCCCTGGGCCTCTTTACACTCAATCCCCTCCTCCACCCTCGCCCTGGGCTCCTGTATTCTATTCGCTATTCCTGTAGTTTTGACTTTCATATAAATGAAACCACCCAGGATACAGCATTTTGAGTCTGTCCTCTATCACCAAACATAATGCTTTTGAGAGTTATCGTTGCTGCACCCTGGGGTAGCTCATTCTGTTTTTCTAGCTGAAAAACTTTCCTTATGTGGGTGTACTACAATTTATTTTATCCATTCACCTGTTGAAGGGTATTTGGCTTGTCTCCCGTTCACGGCTATTATGAATAAAGCCGCTATGAATGTCGAAGTCAAGTTCTTTACATGGACAGAGGCCTTCTCCTGGATGGCCACCTGGGATGGAACTGCTGGATCACGTGGTGACTGAGGTGTAACTTTTCAAGAAACTGCCAGGCTGATTTCTAAAATGTCTGTAGCATGTTACACTCCCCCATGCAGGGTCTGGGGGTTCCAGCGAATCTACACCCTTCCCTGCGCTGGCATGGTCCGTCCTGTACATTCCAGCCTTTCCAGGAGGAGCGCAGCAGTGTCCCACTGTGGTTCAAATTTGTGTTTCCTTGATGACGAATGACGCTGAGCATCTTTGTGTGTGCTCATTTGCCATCTGTACTTCTTCTTTGGGGAAGTCTGTTCCAATCCCTTGTCTCACAGGAATGTTCGTCTCTATATTTGGCTACATAGTTGCCATTTCTGGTGCTATTTCTTTACTGTTGTGTCCGTTTGATATGACTTTCCTTCTGCTTACAGAGCTTACTTTAACCTTACTTAATATGTTGAGGATGCTGAGGCAGGAGAATAGGGAATTGGGGTAACCAAGGGTTAAGGCAGAAGCAAAAGAGCAGCAGGCTCCGCCAGCTCCAGGCAAGACTGGGCGGCACACAGGCCGCATCCCCACCCCTGTGATGACAAGACAGAAGCCTCCACGTCAGCCTCTGATTGGCCGCAGATCAATCCTTCATAGGGTGTAACCAATGGGAGGCTTCTAAAGGGCACCTAGGGGTGTTACCAAATCTTTTAGCTTTATAAAAACCTGGGGAGCATTGCAATGGGGGGGATGGTGTCTTGAGCCACTTGCTCGAGTCCGCTCCCACTCTGCGGAATGTACTTCCGCCTCAATGTAGCTGTGCCTTCGACTCAGCAAAACAGAAATAATATTCCAAATACGCACGATGGTAAGAACCAACAGGAACCCTCATATCCTGCTACTGCAGCCGCACCTATGATTGGTTATCCCGGGCCAAAAAGACATTTTCAGTAAGACTTTAGAAGTATATGTAAATGTCTGTTTTTCACAATTGCTCCATATATTGTGTGTTTTCAGACAAGACAGTTATTTAAGAAACGGGAATTGCAGAAATGGCTGTAGTGCAGCGGTAATATTTAAGTCGACTAGTTATCCACGTTCCTGAAACAATTTCTAAGGTTTTTTTTTTGTAGTAGAAAATGTAGGCAGTGTTTTCACAAAAGTAAATGTACAGTGATTTGAAATACAATAAATGAAGGCAATGCATGGCGTTCCAGTAAACATTTTAAAAATAAATAAATAAAAATCTGTGCTTTCGTTACTCCTTTCTTTCGTTGCTTGCCTTTCATTGCTTCGTTCTTTTGTTGCTTTGTTTGTGCATTTTGTTCAATTCTTTGTTCAACACACCAAGAACCTGGACAACCCACAGTCAAGACGTTCCACCCGGTAACAATGGGACATCACTTTAACATTGCCGGGACACAGGTCTGATGGCGATGAACTCTTTCAATTTTTGTGTTTCTGAAAAACTAATTTCACCTTTTCTAAAGAAAAAAATGTTTTCATTGGGTAAAGAATTTTAAATTGGCTGGGCGCGGTGGCTCTCGCCTATAATCCCAGCACTCTGGGAGGCCGAGGCAGGTGGATCACCTGAGGTCAGGAGTTCAAGATCAGCCTGGCCAACATGGTGAAACCCTGTCTTTACTAAAAATACAAAAATTAACTGAGCATGGTGGCATGTGCCTGCTACTCAGGAGGCTGAGGCACGAGAATAGTTTGAACCCGGGAGGCGGAGGTTGCCGTGAGCCGAGATTGCACCATTGCACTCCAGCCCAGCCAACAGAGCGAGACTCCATTGGAAAAAAAAAAAAAAAAGAATTTTACATCGACTGTTGTTTTCTTTCAGTGCTTTCGGGATGCCGTTCCACCATTTCCAGCCTGTGTTGTTTCCAACAATGCAAATATTCTGACAAAAATATTGTCATCCTTTTGTTCCTTAAAAATTTTCTTTTTAAGGCCATTTGATTTTTTACGTGCCTTGCTGTCAGTTTTTGTTTTGTTTTTTAAACAGGGTCTCATTCCGCCACCCAGGCTCAAACAATCCTCCTGCCTCGGCCTCCCAGATAGCTGGGACTGCTGGTGTGCATCACTATGCCTGGAAAATTCTTGTATTTTTTGTGGAGTTGGGTTTTTGCCACGTTGCCAAGGCTGGTCTCGAAATCCTGGGCTCAAGCGATCCTCCTGCCTCGGCCTCCCAAAGCGCTGGGATTACAGGCGTGAGCCACCGCGCCTGGCTGATGTCGGGTTTTTGTGTGTGTTTCTTATGTTTTGTGTGTTTCTTATGTATGAGCTTCTTAGATTTCACCAAATTTGGAATAACTTTAATCACTATTTCTTCAAATGTTTTTTTGCTTCTCCTCTTTGGGAAGCTTCCCTTACAGACATACTAACCCGTTGGCATCATCCTCATACAGCCCACTGATGCTCTGGAGTCTTTTTCCCTCCCTTCCCCTCATGTGTTATATTTTATATGATTTCTACTGCTACATCTTCAGGTCCTCTGCTCTTTTCCTCCGCCAAGTCCACTCTACCATTCATGTCGTACCTCATCCAGTGTGATTTTCACATCAGACATTGTGGTTTTTATCTCCAGCAGTTTCGTCAGAGACTTTTTTTTTTTTTTTAACAACAGGGTCTTGCTGTGTTGCCCAGGCTGGTCTTGAACTCCTGGGCTCAGGCGATCCTCCTGCCTTGGCCTCCCTAAGTGCTGGGATCACAGGTATGAGCCACCATACCCAGTCTTGTCAGAGCCTTTTTATACGTTCTTTGTCTCTTCTTGGGCTTTCAGCTGGCTTCCTGAGCATGCATCATAGTTACAGTGACTGTGTGAATTTCTTTGCATAGCAATTCTCTCACCTATCACATTTCTAGGTCAATTTTAATGGGTTGGATTTTCTGCTCATTACGGGTTGTATTTTCCTGCTTCTCTGCTGGCCTGGTAATTTTTTTTTTTAATTGAATGCCATACATTGTGACTGTTACGTTTCTGGGTGTTGGATGTTTCTGTATTCCAAACATTCTTGAGCTTTGCTGTGGGACACTATCACGTCACTTAACAGTTTCATCCTTGGGGACCTTGCTTTGTTAGGTAGGAAAGCAGAGCATTCCTCGGTGGTGAGGAAAAGTCCTTCTGGGTGCTCTATGCCACGCCCCACGAATGAGGAGGTGTTTGCCTCTGACTGATGGCTAGACGCCCTATTCCCAGCCTTGTGTGAGCTCTGGGGATTGTTCCCTCTAACCCTAGCGAGTGGTCCTTTCTCCAGCTGGGCTCATGTTACGGGGCTGCACTGACACAGGACATGAACGAGGTGGTATAAAGTAACAGAAGTGTATTCCCTCAGTTCTGGAGGCAAGAAGCCCAAAATCACGGTCATGTTTCCCTGATAAGGGGAAGGCGGATGGGCCTGGGGAGTGTGGTGCAGGGTGGGCTGAGGCCAGAGGAGAGGCTGCCACAGGGCGTGGAGCAGAGTTTGTGGGGCACACTGTGCACAGTGACCTCCACCATTGTTTAATTGGATTGGGTCCCAGAGTTCTACTTGGCTCATGAGCCCTGATCAGCCATTCACAGGCTGTAGGACCAGGAAGTTTTCCAGATAGAACAGGAAGATGTCTCCAGGCAGCAGTGATTCAGGAACAGCAGGCACCGATAATGACCAGAAAGCAGACACTCCCAGCGAAAATGAGCCCGCCTAGGCCAGGCATGGTGGCTCACACCGGTAATCCCAGCGCTTTGGGAGGCCAAGGCAAGAGGATCTCTTGAGCCCAGGAGTTTGACACCAATGCTAGCAACATAGGGAGACTCCATCTCTACAAAAAAATTTTAAAAACAAGCCAGGTGTGGTGGTGCATGCCTGGAGTCCCAGCTACAGGCTGAGGCCGAAGGATTGCTTGAGCCAGGAGTTCCAGGCTGCAGTGAGCTATGATTGCACCACCGCACTCCGGCCTGGACGACAGAGAGATCCTGTTTCAAAAACAAAAAACGGCCGGGTGCGGTGGCTCACGCCTGTAATCCCAGCACTTTGGGAGGCCAAGGCAGGCAGATCACGAGGTCAAGAGATCAAGACCATCCTGGCTAACACGGTGAAACCCCATCTCTACTAAAAATACAAAAAATTAGCCGGGCACGGTGGCAGGCGCCTGTAGTCCCAGCTACTCGGGAGGCTGAGGCAGGAGAATGGCATGAACCCGGGAGGCGGAGCTTGCAGTGAGCCGAGATGGCGCCACTGCCGTTCCGCCTGGGCCGAAGAGTGAGGCTCCATCTCAGAAAAAAACAAACAAACAAAAAAAACCAGGAGCCCACCTTGACCACGTGAGCACATCTAGGAGGAAAGCCCCCCATGGCTCAGGAGACTGCTGACAAAACACACAGAGACCCCGGGAGGCACAGGAGACAGGAGTGCCGCTCGCCACCAAACCACACCCACCGCCGGGGCCTGCTTCCCTCTCTCAATCCCGAAGGGAGGGGAGCAACTGGGGGGCTGGGCTACAGGAGGCTTTGGCTGAGCCCCTCCGTGCCCAGGGTACAACAAATATCAGGACAGTACACAGGGACTTGCCTTAGGAAAGCCCACCCAGCCAAGCACAGGACTTGCATGAAGATCAGAAAGTTTACTGAGGCACAGGAAGACTTCCTCTGGAGATGGAAAGGAGGCAAGGGCCCCGGACCACACTCTTCTTAGCATTGGCCTGGAAGCCTCAGCCTGTGCAGAAAGCAAGAAAAAATAAAAGATGTAAAGGTTGGAAGGGAAAAAAATAAAATGTGGTTGTTCACGGATGACACAGCTGCATACAGAGGAACGCCTCAAGAATAGATAAACAATCTGTTAGAATTAATCAGTGGAGTTATAAGGTCACTGGGGACAAGGTCAATATACCCAAAAAACAAATCCATCAAGTGTTTGTAGACTAGCACAAACAAACAGAACACGAACTTTAAAATTATAGCATTTACAACAGTATCTGTATTAGTCCATTTTCATACTGCTGTGAAGAAATAGCCAAGATGGGTAATTTATGAAGAAAAAGAGGTTTAATGGACTCACAGTTCCACGTGGCTGAAGAGGTCTCACAATCATGGCGGAAGGTGGAGAAGCAAAGTCACGTCTTACATGGCGGCAGGCAAGAGAGCGTGTGCAGGGAGACTGCCCTTTATAAAACCATCAGATCTCATGAGACTTATTCACTATCACGAGAACAGCACGGGAAAAACCCACCCCCATGATTCAGGTACCTCCCACCAGGCCCCTCCCACAACACGTGCTGATTATGGGAGCTACAATTCAAGATGGGATTTGGGTGGGGACACAGCCAAACCATATCAGCATCCAAATACTTAGAAATAAATCTAATTGGAGACATGAAAGACCTCCACCTGCAAACTACACAGTGAAATTAAACACATAAATAAATGGCTATGCCATATTCCTGGATTAGAAAATTCAATAATGTAAAATGTCAGTTCTCCCCAAATCAATTTGTAGATTCAATGCAATCCCAGTAAAATTCCTAGTTGAGTTTGTTTGGGGTGGTGTTTGTTTGTTTGGAGACAGGGTCTTGCTCTCAAGACCCTAGGTCCTGGACAGGGTCCACCCCTAGGCTAGAGTACAATGGCATGATCACAGCTCACTGCAACCTTGAACTCCTGGGCTCAGGTGATCCTCCCACCTCAGCCTCCTGAGTAGTTGGGACTACAGGCATGCATGAAAATTTCTGTATTTTTTATATAGACAGGATCTTGCCTTGTTGCCCAGACTGGTCTCAAACTGCCAGGCTCAAGCAATCCTCCCACCTCAGCCAGCCAAAGTGCTGGGATTACAGGCGTGAGCCACCGCAATAGGCCAATTTTTTTTTTATTGTTTTGTTTTGTTTTGTTTTTTTAAACTGAGCTGAGAAACTTCAAGTCACTGCTGGAGGAGTCAAGACGGCAAGCCAAAGCCCTGTGTGGCTGGGGTGGGGTCTGGCCCCGCTTCACCCTCACGGAGCCTCCTTGGCTTTAGGAAGAGCAGAGGTCCTTTCTCAGGCACTGGTGGCTGTGCTTCAAGCTGCTGTGGTGGAGGCTGAGCCAGTTTCCCACCCACCTGCCTACCAGGAAGCCCCGAGTCTGTCCCTGCAGTCCCTCCTCCTGGGAGCTGCTGCCGAATCTAGGGTGTCCCCGCCTGTTTTGCTTTCTGGGAAGAGTCTCCTCTCTGAGAAGCAAGATCCCCTGGAGATGCGGTCGGTGCTGGCTCCGCCTGCCCTGCCCTGCCTGCACACCGTTCCGGGTGTCACCACCCCAGGCGACTGCAGGACCCTAGATGCCCTGAGGTCCGGGAAGGCGGGGGGTCCCCGAGTCTTTTACTCCCTGGAGATAAGCCTTCGCGGGGTTCGCAGGACTGCGTCCTCCTGGGCCCCTTTTTCCTTTTTTCTTCTACCTGGGGGTTGTGGTGCCAAATGCCTCTTGGGTTCCAACGTCTGGTGCCCTCTCAGGAGTTCCACCGGCAACGACCCGACGTGCAGGGACTGTGGCAGGTTTGTGACCCCTCCCCTCCCCGCAGAGCCTGGCACATCGGCAGCCCTCCCGCGAGTCAGCCTGGGTGACTGCGACTGCCCTGGGCTCTAAACCCCGGGGTACGGGCCAGGTGTCTGCTTGGGGAGGTGTAGACGGACACAGGCAGGGTGGGAGGAGGCGAAGGTGTCCTCCACGAAGGACGCGGGGCGCACCGGGACTCCAGTCCCCGGCACCCTCCACCCGGCACCCGCGTCCCCACACGGGCCGCGTCCCGCCTCCCCAGCCTCCCTGGCCCCCCCGGCCGCCCCCACTCACATCCCGTTGCCCCCCACCTGGCCCCCACCATGCACCCAGCATCCCAGGCCCAGGTGCCCCGCCCCGGGCCTTACCCACGGGCTCGAGCCTGATCTCCTCCCCGGGCCCCCCGCCCCTGGCTCCTCCTCGGCTCCCACAAGGCACAGCCTGTGTCCGCCCCAGACCCGCCGCGAACTCGCGCTGCCACCTGCCGCCTCGGCCCTGCCCCCGGCCCCGCCCCCAGCCCTCTAGCCCCGACCCCGACCCTCCGGCCCCGCCCCTCCCCTGGCCTGCCACGTGTCCCCTACCCCGCAGGGCAGCTGCGTGTTTTGTGTTCCTGTCTCTGCGGCCAGGTGGGGGCGAGTGCGCTGAGGTCAACCCTCGGCCACCCGGGCGCTGGGTGGTGCTGCCACTGTCCCCATTTCAGAGATGAGGAGACTGAGGCTCACAGGGGAAAGGGCCATCTGCATCCGGAGGAGGGCCTAAGCCAGACTCTCCCTGGAGGAACAGGGAGGCCTCGACTAGCCCCTCCCCAAACGCAGCAAGTGGGTGCTCTGAGGAGGGGGTGTGGGGACCCTTCCCTCTGGGGCCCTCAGAAGGGGTGGGCCTCAGCCCCACCATGTGGCCCCAATCCAGCCCTCAGGACCCGCCAGGAGTCTCAGCACCTCCCCACACACCGAGTGTCCAAAAGCCTCTGACATCCCCTCTAGGGGGAGCGCTCCCCAAAGTCTCTCTGGCAAGGGTTCTCGGCACCACCAGGGTTGGGGCCCACGCTTCTTTTCCCCTCAATCTACCCTGGGAGGGGAAGGGCGGGGAGGGGCCCTGGCAGGGCAGCAGCGAGGACTGGGCAGTTGGCTTTCCAGGGCCTGGCTTGCAATGTCGGGCTCCCCCTCCATCCTCAGCTCCTGGGAGCTCGTTCTCGTGGCTGGCTGGGTCCACCGCAGCCTGGAATTGGTGTGTGGCATTCTTATAGCCACCTGCCCCCAACCATGAAAACAGACCCAGTGCCAGTCTTCAGGCACGGCTGGATCCAGGCGCCAGTCCTCAGGCACGGCTGGATCCAGGCGCTCCGGGATGCCATCAAGGCTGGCTCTTCATTCGGCCTCTGTGTTGGTCTCAGCCACACTCTGCCCCGCAGTGGCCACGGTGGCAGTCCTTGGACAACTGAGCTGACGTCCTGCCAGCCCCCAAACATGAAGTGTCCTTCTGGGAGTTCCTGTAACATGTCTGGGTGAGACAGGACTGGCCAGGCTGAGGTCACGGCCATCCCTCAGCTTGTGTCAGTGACCAAGACAAGCCAGGCCACATGACCCACCCCCCTGGGTCCACCCCGAGCGGGTAGGATGGGTGGGGCCTGCTGGCCCCATGTGCCCGTGCAAGGCGCTGTGCCGGGAGACACGGGGCCCCCTCAGTCATCACGTGGCATTTCTCATAAGCTTCTGAGGCGGCCCAGGGACCACCAGGGCTCCAGTGTGGCCAAGAAGTGAAGTCTGAAGTGACCCAGAGGGCTGCTGGTGAGGGGATGAGTGCTCAGGACGGAGGCGGAGGGCTTCCTGGAGCTGGTGGCATTTGAGAGGACATAGGGGAAGAGCAGCACAGAGTGGAAGGCCCTGCTAGAGAACTGGGCCACATTCAGGGGACTCTGGCAGCCCAGCAAGCTCCAGCTCCTTGGACGCTTGTTGGCGAAACAATATTGTACGTCCCTCCCTCCCCACCACCCCTGCAGCCTAGAGATGGAAAGGTCCCTCCACCAGGACCAGACCTCCTCCCTCCTCCCACCTCGGACCTCCCACCCCACCTCCAGCATCAGCAGACAGTGCTGGACCTGGACCAGGGTCAGGAGCAGTGCCCCCCACCCCGCCCCTCAGCACCATCAAACCTGCCACCTCCCTGCACCCCTTCCCACCTCCCCTCCCTTCCCCCTTCCCCTCCCTTCCTTCCTCCCCTTTTTTTACCCCCTCCTCCCTTTCCCCACCTCCCCTCCGTTCCCCCCTCCCTTTCCCCCTCTCCTCCTTTCCCCCGTCCTCCCTTCCCCCCTCCCCTCCCTTTTCCCCCTCCCCTTGCTGCCTTTTCCCCTCCTCCCTGCACCCCCTGCTCCCCTCCCCCTTCACCCATCCCTCCTCCCTGTAACCCCCTCCCCACTCCCTGAACCCTCCTTCCCCTTCCCTGCACCTTCCTTCCCCCTCCCCAGTGCCCCACCCTCACCTCTTCCCCACCCGCACCTCTGCTTCTTCCATTTGGCACCTCCCATGTTCCTGTCTCCACACACGAACGCAGCTTTTTTATTTTTCATTCATTTATTTTTGCAGCGTTATTGAGATAGACCTGATTGACGTATGGTAACCTGCATATATTTATAGTGTGCAATGCGGAAAGTTTCGACACTTTGCACACCTGTGAAACCATCACAGTCAAGATAATTCTCCATCACCCAAGTTTCTTCACGCCCTTGGCAGGCCTCTCCCACCCCATCGACAAAGGTGCCCAAGGGCCTTTCCTCACTCCCATCACTGCGCTGCCCAGCATCTCCCACAAGTGGAAGCAGCGGGCTCCTGCTGTCGCAAGCGTTCCACTGCGGGGTAAAATAAAGCTGCTGTGAACCTTGTACAAGGCTTTGCTGGACACCTGTGTTCATTTCTCCAGAAGCAGCGGTGAGAGACGCATGTTTAACCCCTTAAGAAACTGCCAGAAGGGTGTGAACCACAGTCCACACCCCAGCACCTCCAGGAGTTCCGTGCCCTCCCGACACTCGTCCTGGTCCCATCCTCACGAGTGTGTTCCTGGTATTTTGTTGCGTTTTTAATTTCTAAATAAGCTCAGGAAACATGATTCTCAACATCCTCCTCAGATGCACCCAGAGAGAAGCCGCCTCTCTTCTGCTCACACCTGAGAGCTCTCCTGTCCACCTGCGCCCTTCCCCAGCCCCAGCCTTTTCCACCTCAAGCCTCTACCCAGCCCCTTCGCCAGCCAGGAGGCTCCCCAGGGTCCGGCCCCTGCAGCCCCTGGAAGGGCTCCCATGCCTGAGAGGCGCTCACAGCACTTGCTGAGTAAGAACATTGAGAAAAGACAGATATACGCATGCCCATCCTTCTCAAACAGAAATTCTAGCAGACAGATATACGCATGCCCATCCTTCTCAAACAAATTCTAGCAGACAGATATACGCATGCCCATCCTTCTCAAACAAATTCTAGCAGTTAGGAGTGAACAGCCTGACAAGCAGCTAGCTGCGTTTCTAACAAGGAGTGTGATCTGTCTTCCAAGCAAGTCTTGAAGGTGCTCTAGGAAGCTCCCGTTCGACCTTCCTGGTGAGCTCAGCATCACAGGGACTATGCCCAGCCCAGCTTTGTGTCAACGCTCTGCTGGGCATAGCCAGCGCCGCCAGGGAGGGGGCTTCGGAAGGCTGCATAGGGACTGGGGTCTTTCGAATCGCATAACCACCATCGTGAGATCAGGCACTGGTTGAGCACTTGCTGTCTGTATGGCACTGAGGACACAGGAGGCCCCGATGGGTCCCCAAAGCTGCTCAGACCAATGAAAGCCTAGAGCAGCACAGATGCCACTGCCTCAGTGGCAGCCCCGGGTGAATAGTGCCCTGAGGCCAGGGCCAGGTGAAGGCTCAGGGGACCTTTTCCTTTTTTTTTTTGAGACAGTCTTGCTCTGTCCTCAGGCTGTAGTGCAGTGGCATGACATTGGCTCACTGCAACCTCTGCCTCTTGGGTTCAAGCGACTCTCCTGCCTCAGCCTCCCGAGGAGCTGGGACTACTGGAGCACACCACCACGCTCAGATAATTCTATTTTTGTAGAGATGGGGTTTCACCACGTTGGCCAGGATGGTCTCGAGCTCCTGACCTCAGGTGATCCGCCCGCCTCGGCCTCCCAAAATGCTGGGAATTACAGGCCTCATGAGCCACCACATCCACCCAGACTTTTTCTTTTTTAGATAAAATTACACTTGATTTGTAGACCTAGTATTAAAAAGATTTTTTTTAATTACATTTGGAGGCCACCGTCTGATAGAAGGGAAAACGCCAGCAACTGACTGTGGAGAACCACCAGATTTGTAGTCAGAGCAGCACTGGAAAAACGATGACAACTTCTCAGGCACTCGGCCCCCCATCGGAGCACTCGGCCCCCCATTGGAACACTCGGCCCCCCCATCGGGGCACTCGGCCCCCCATCGGAACACTCGGCCCCCCATCGGAACACTCGGCCCCCTCATCGGGGCACTCGGCCCCCCGTCGGAGCACTCGCCCCCCCGTCGGGGCACTCGGCCCCCCGTCGGAACACTCGGCCCCCCGTCGGGGCACTCGGCCCACCATCGGGGCCATTACATGCCACGAGTCCTTTGGTGTCAGATCCCTAGTGCGGGGCCAGGTGACCCACCTGGGTGGGGCCCAAGCCTTTCCCGGTTGCTTAACTGAGGTGCCCTTACACTGGCTCAAATGCACAGATATTACCTGTCAGCTTAGTGTTTCACATTGGCACGCGCCTGTGTGACACCCATGATGATCAAAACAGAACATTTTCATCACCCCAGAGGGCCCTGGCGCCCCTTCCCGACAGTCTCCTCACCGGAGCCCCACACCCTGCTTCTACCCACCCATGAACTTCCATCAGGCGGAATCAGAATGCATAGGCTTCTGTGTCCGGCCTCTTCCAGTCAGCGTAGCTCCTCTGAGATTCAGCTACCTGGTGGAGCATATCAGTAGTTCGTTCCTTTTTATTCCTGGGGGGCGTTTCACTGACTAAATATGCATCTGTTTGACTCTCCATTCACCTGCTGAAGGGCATTTGGGCTGCTTCCATCTTGAGCATCAATACGGCCATTGTGAACATTCTTGTATGACTTTTCCGCGGACAAAGGAACTCATTCTCAAGTAGATGCTTAGGACTGGAACTGCTGGTCACAGGATAGATGTGCATTCGGCTTCGTCGCTGTGTCACACACTGAAGAGATGCCCATTCAGCTTCATCACTGCATCATCACACACCGGGTAGACATGCATTCAACACTGGGTAGACGGGCATTCAGCTTCATCACTGCATCACACACCGGGCAGACGTGCGTTCAACACTGGGTAGACGGGCATTCAGCTTCATCACTGCATCACACACCAGGCAGACGTGCGTTCAACACTGGGTAGACGGGCATTCAGCTTCATCACTGCATCACACACCGGGCAGACGTGCGTTCAACACTGGGTAGACGGGCATTCAGCTTCATCACTGCGTCACACACCGGGCAGACGTGCATTCAACACCGGTTAGACGGGCATTCAGCTTCATCACTGCGTCACACACCGGGCAGACGTGCATTCAACACCGGTTAGACGTGCATTCAGCTTCATCACTGCATCACACACCGGGTAGACGTGCATTCAACACTGGGTAGACGGGCATTCAGCTTCATCACTGCATCACACACCGGGCAGACGTGCGTTCAACACTGGGTAGACGTGCATTCAGCTTCATCACTGCATCACACACCGGGTAGACGTGCATTCAACACTGGGTAGACGTGCATTCAGCTTCATCACTGCATCACACACCGGGTAGACGTGCATTCAACACTGGGTAGACGTGCATTCAGCTTCATCACTGCGTCACACACCGGGCAGACGTGCATTCAACACTGGGTAGACGTGCATTCAGCTTCATCACTGCATCACACACCGGGCAGACGTGCATTCAACACTGGGTAGACGGGCATTCAGCTTCATCACTGCGTCACACACCGGGCAGACGTGCATTCAACACTGGGTAGACGTGCATTCAGCTTCATCACTGCGTCACACACCGGGCAGACGTGCATTCAACACTGGGTAGACGTGCATTCAGCTTCATCACTGCGTCACACACCGGGTAGACGTGCATTCAACACTGGGTAGACGTGCATTCAGCTTCATCACTGCATCACACACCGGGCAGACGTGCATTCAACACTGGGTAGACGTGCATTCAGCTTCATCACTGCATCACACACCGGGTAGACGTGCATTCAACACTGGGTAGACGGGCATTCAGCTTCATCACTGCGTCACACACCGGGCAGACGTGCGTTCAGCTTCCTGTGTCACACAACATGCCACCACTGGATGAGAGTCTTTCAGATTCAAGCCCTGAGGGTGGGCACACAGTGGAGCCTCGCTGTGGTGTCCATTTGCATTTCTCTAATGACCAGTAACGGTGGGCACCTTTTCAGTTGCTTATTCGCCACTTGTGTATCTTTTCTAAAGCACCTGTTCAAGTGTCTCGCACATTTGTTATTGTGTTATCTTTTTATTACTAAGTAGTGGAATTCTTTATTCCTGTGTCATGTATAAATATTGCAAATATTTCTCCAAGTCTGTGGCTTGCCTTTTTACTTTATATACCTTTTTTTAACATTCTAAAGAGAAATTTACATTCCATTTTTCCTCAGTAACATAGCAAAACTATAAAGAAAAAAATAGAGATTAGTATCTAAACTTTTTCAGAAACAATGTATTTCATAAAAATTGAATAGACACTTTTTTCCCACTGTGTTCATGAAATCTAAATGATAGATTGTGGCATTCGTAAGTGTGGTGAATAAGCCAGTCTATAGAAAATCTCCTCTGCGTCCCGTGTAAGTGTGGCGAAGAAGCCAGTCTAAAGAAAATCTGTGCGTCCCGTGCCTCGGACCACAACATGACTGCCAAAAAGCAAAGGTTCCACTCTGACCTTGAACTAAACGCTGACCAACCTCCAAGGGCATCTTGATGAGCAAAAGGCTGTAGCTGAGGCCCAATTTATGCATTCTTCTTCAGGATGTGTGCCTTCTATGTGCTTAGAAATCCTTGCCCACTCCCAGTCATGAAGACCTCTGACGCTTTCCAGATCTCTGATCCACCTCAAGTTGATGGTTACGTACAGTGTGAAGATGGACTCCAAGATCACGTTTCCCCCACAGGGCACAGAACTGCACCAGGGCCTTCAGCCACGCCTGTCTTTGCTCCGACGGCACGACATCCTGATTGCTGTCACTTCAGGGGAAGTCTTGAAATGTGGGAGGGTCAAGTGCTCCATTCTGTCCTAGGCTGTCTTGGCTATTTAAGTCCTCTGCATTTCTATATACATTTATGGAATCAGATTGTCAGTTTCTAGGAAAATCCTGCTGGGATTTGGTTGAGCTGGCATTGCATCTGTTTCTCAGTCCTGACAGACTTGCTGTCTTCAGCAACACAGAGTCTTCCCTACTAGCACTGTGGTGTCGGCCTCCGCTGAGGGCTTTGATTTCTCAGTTCCAGTGTAAGATCTCATACATCTTTCATTCGGTGTATTCCTGGGCGTGTGTTCTCCGTGCTATTGTTGACGGCATGTTTTTAACCTTCTGGTTGTTGGTTGCGAGTACACGGAACTACAGACACCTCCAGCTACCGGCCTCGCCTCTGGCCCTCTTTGGGAGTTCACGCGCCGTGCTCAGTGTTGTGTTTGTAAGTTCGTCTGGATTTCCAAGACACACAGTCGTGTCACCTCTGAATCCTTTGTTCACCTTCTTCCTCTCCATACTTGATGCCTCTTTTTCTTGCCTTTTTTGCCCAACTGGAGCTGCCTGTACGTGGGGAGCAGAGGCAGCAAGAGTGGCCGTCCCAGTCATGTTCACGAGGCTGCTCGTGCCCCAGGCCTGGGCAAACACCCAGATCAGACTGAGGGCAGCCAGCAAATCTGTGATGAGATGCGAAACAGCAGCTACGGGTCTCAAGAACAGAGTACAACAAACATGCCTGCAGACCCGGTCTTCTGGCAGTGCCCGGCTGAGGGGAATCTCTCTCATGTTGGCCTAAGCCTCAAGTCACCATGACCGTCCCACACAGACTGACTGGACCCGACAGAAGAGCAGAAGAGCTGGAATGAAATCAATCATACTTGCAGAAATTCAAGTGCAACTGCCCTTTGTACCTGATTAAACTAATTTATTTCAGGTCAAGAACTTTGTGAAAGGCAGGTATGGGTCATGGATGGAAAGCACAGATGTGATCCCATCAGTGAACGACCCTGGCACGGCCTAGAGCGGGAAGCTGGAGAGGGCGCCCCCCAGTGCTTCCTGCCGAGACTCTCAGTGTGGCCACGTATCCAGGGTGAATTGTTTCCTCCCTAAAAAAGATACGGAGGACTCTTTACCCCCGGTCCTCAGAATGTGACTCTATCTGGAGTTAGGGTCTTTACAGAGATAATCCAGTCAGAATGAGGTCGTTTGGGCGGGACCTGATCCAACAGGACTGGGGGTCCTTACAGAGAGGGGAAGCTGGACCCAGAGACCGACATACACAAGGGAGAAGCTGTGGAAAGGCAGAGGCAGAGATCGGGCGCTGTGTCTAAGCCAAGGAACCCAAAGGTGCCAGCAGCTGCCAGAAGCTGGGAGAGCAGACCCTTCCCCAGAGCCTGGGGAGAAACCCACCCTGCTGGCATCTTGATCTCCAACCGTGGCCCCCAGAGCGGTGGGACGATCTGTGGTCCTTTGTGATGGCAGCCCCAGTGGGGCAGTGCAACAGGTGTGGGAACAGGGGCAGTGTCTCCAGCAGAACGTGTACGTAAACCTGCATATCGCTGTGGGTCCGTCACAGTAGGTGGAGTGAACGTCACAATGGGAGACCAACTCCAATTGCATCAGAGACCGTTCCCAAAGGCTCTCCAAGGTGCTCGAAGGCAGGGAGCGGTACACATTGGCGCTGAGCCTCTGAGGGCCCAGCAGGAGCTGTGACCTGTCAGGACCAACCAATACCACAAACTGCCCTGGAGACGCCCTCTCTCGCCACAGGAGGTCTGCGTCAAGGCTGGGGCCCTCTGGGCACCTCAGCCGGGCTCGCCACGTGCGTTTCTGTGTACATCTCCCCCAGCACTGGGCCTCCCGCCGCCCCTCCTAGCTGTGCCCAGCTCATCTCCACCTGTGACAGCAGAAGGTGTTAAGCGCAGCCGCCAGCCCCCAGACTCCACGCAGAGAGTAGCTCGGCCCCTGTCCTCACAGAGAAAGTTCTTTCTCCCGGCTCTGATGGGGCTCAGCTACAGATTCCAACAGGTGGCTCAGAAACCAGCACCTCAGCAGAGCCGGAGTGCAATCTGGCAGTAGAATCTAAAACTGGAAAACGGAGGAAAAATAGGCAAAACAAATACAGATAAATTTGTTTTTAATAAAGGAGTTAATTTTCTTTCAATCCTATATAAAACAATAGCAATTAAAAACTTCATTTCTGAAAGTAAAATATTTACATATGAACAAGTAACTGTGCAAAATTTACATGAAAAAATGGAAAGACAGGGATTTCCTAAAAGACAAAATAAAAGGTGTAACAGTTCTCAGGTGTTGATAAAAAATACTGATCAGCGTTCAGTTCACACGCGCTCGAATTAAAGTCTAATGTGAGAATTCACACGGAGAAAGCCAGAGTATTTACAGTCATAAAAGTACTATCAATAGACAATTTCATACAATAACCTCTGAAAATAGAAAGAACCAATTAGTATATTTGTAATAAAAAAATAGGTACAAAGAAGGGGCTTTGCTCTGGACGTCTGTAAAGTCGGCCCAAGGCTTGCATACAGTCTCTTAGCAAAATAATTATAGTTTACATAGCCATTTCTATGTCATGTGCCAAAAGTTATGTACAATTACTGACAAAATACACCAACCATTTTTCAACACTTGATTCACACCGAGAAACAGTCTTTTGATGATTCTTCTCAACTTTGATTTTATTTAATCTAGGTTTTCACTTTTAGCTAAAAAACACAGTGCAAGTAAAATATATTTATGCTGAAAAGGTTTTCATCTCTTTTAACTTTACAGCTTTACAAACTATAGCAAATAAAATGCATTTGTACAGATGCTGACCACACATTCAGAAGGAGCCACCTTTGCTGGGCTCGGCCTCTACCAAGCAGAAATGCGATTACACTCTGAGGTGGGGGTGCAACGATGAATTGTGTATTCCTCCAGGATTCTCAGCGGAGTGGAGGGGAAGGGAGGGGAGGGGAGGGCAGGGGGCAGAGAGGAGAGCGGGGTGGGAGGGGAAGGGAAGGAAGATAAATAGTCTAAAAAATCAGTTTGCTTTGCCAACTGACTATTACAAAAATAAAATAAACGAAATGAGGTCATCGGCTGTAGACATACACCTACATAGTAAGTTAGGTAGAACTAAACCAAAATGCACAAATAATGCAGAAACTGCTATGAGTTGACAGAGGGCAGCTAATTATTTGCTAACGATTCCATCAGTCTTTATATATGGCTTGTTTGGCAGGAAGGCCACTCAATCAAGATGAGTTAAGATTTAATTGTCCTTTAAGAGTATCCACAGGCCTTTGTGTTCTCTCTGTTACAGAAACGTGTTTTCTTTCACACTGAAGAGCTGATTTAGAAACAGGAATATAAAACTGTTCCATTGTAAAGAGGTGGCTGTTTTTTAAACAATATCCCATTTGCTCGTTACAAAAAGGCGTAATCTGCAAATATATAAAAAGTCCCCAGGCGTCCTCCTGTGTCACTTAAGGAATGCTTTGTAGAGCAGCAGTGAATGGCTTGTCTCACGTTCATTTTCTAAACAAAATATGAGGTCCCTGAGGTTGACCCGCGTGATTCTTTGTCGCGTGAACTGTCTGGGGGTTCCGACACCCGAGCTGCCTGGGACCACTGAGCCGGGGCCCGACCCCTGGTGATGAAAAAGGAGAAGACAGTGTGTTAGTGGGGCTCAGAGTGGGGCTTGCAATGAGCCTGTGTATCTGAGCCAAGTACCCCGATTCCAGAGGAGGCCAGGCCTGGCACGGGCTCCTTCCGGTAGGCCCACAGCTGGAGCTGGGGTGCTGTCCAGGGCCCTGCCAGGGCAGGGGCAAGGGCAGGAGGCCCCATGCTGCACCTTCAGGACAGGGCACACTCAGATGCTGCCCAATGCCCCACAGTGCTTGGACCTGGTCCTGGGGCTGAGGATGGACTAGGGGGTGGCACCCACCCAAGGCAAATGGCTGAGCGGCCCCAGGGCCACCCTCCATGTGACCACAGCTGGACTGCCTGTGGACTCAGCTGGGGCACAAAAGCCACACTAGGTCTGTGTGTGTCATCCCCGCTTGGCTGCTGAATTCCTGCACTGGGAGGCCTGGGGTTGGCTGGGACTGGGCATGCTGGGTCAGCTGGGAAGGCTGGGTTTCTCAGTGGCTCCCACAGTGATCCCTGAGCCTCTGGCTGGGCCCTGGCTGCACAGACGCCGCCTCCGTCAGCCCCTACAGGTGACCAGGTGTCTCCCGAGCTGCCTCAGATGTGTTCCTGCTTGGAGAAGCATAGCTGCTGCGTGCCAGCTCCTGTGGAGAGCTCTGGCGGTTTCAGCTGATGACACCTGCATGACACCGCCCAGCAGGGCACGCGCCACACACACGACACCGCCCAGCGGGGCACACGCCACACACACGACACCGCCCAGCGGGGCACGCGCCACACACACGACACCGCCCAGCGGGGCACGCGCCACACACACGACACCGCCCAGCGGGGCACGAGCCACACACACGACACCGCCCAGCGGGGCGCGCGCCACACACACACAACACCGCCCAGCGGGGCGCGCACCACACACACACGACACCGCCCAGCGGGGCACGTGCCACACAACTCCCAACAGCTGTCATTTCCCCCAGCTGGCATGAAAACTAAGTTCTGCTCCGATGGTGAAAGCTGCTCACATATATTTAAGTACAAAGATTACGATGGCATCTTTACAGCACATTCTCAACCAAAGTTAAGATGCTGGAAGGAGCGGATTCTGCTGTGTGTGCCAGTGGGAGCCTTGCTGTGAACAGCCCTGACATGGCCCCGCCCCTCATGCCGTCCTTCCTCCCCCCTTCCCCGTTCTGCCACTTTCAGTTCAGGCTGGGAGCATGGCTGCCTTGTGTGATGGCATGCAAGTGTGTCTCTGACCCACTGCATTTTCTTTATTCCTGTGAGATTCAAACAGATGAGGGCACCTGTCTCCGTTCAGACGCCCTGCGCTGTGAGGGCCCTTCTTCAGACCTGCCCGGGGTCCCTTTGCTACTGAAGCCTCCGCACTCCACACTAGCTCATTATAAAGTGATCCGCACCTGAGGGCCAGGCCTCCCAAAAGAGAACTCAGGCGAGGTGAGTGACAGTTTGCAGGGTGAGGGCAGGGCTCTCACAGGCACCACCCAAACAGGCTGTGTGACCCAGTGACACCTGCTATAAATTCCGGACTGTGTTTGATGTTTCTATCTTCAAAATAGTTCAGCAGCTAAAAAAGAGGACCGGGGTGAAGGAGAGACGCTCATCTCAGGTGCTCAATTTAAAGGCTGCCGAGGGTAAGAAATCAAGATATTCTAACGCAAGTGTCAGCACCAACCAAGGGAGGGCACGAGACCAACCAAGGGAGGGCGCGACACCAACCAAGGGAGGGCGCGAGACCAACCAAGGGAGGGCGCGAGACCAACCAAGGGAGGGCGCGAGACCAACCAAGGGAGGGCGCGAGACCAACCAAGGGAGGGCGCGAGACCAACCAAGGGAGGGCGCGAGACCAACCAAGGGAGGGCGCGAGACCAACCAAGGGAGGGCGCGAGACCAACCAAGGGAGGGCGCGACACCAAGGGAGGGCGCGACACCAACCAAGGGAGGGCGCGACACCAACCAAGGGAGGGCGCGACACCAACCAAGGGAGGGCGCGACACCAACCAAGGGAGGGCGCGACACCAACCAAGGGAGGGCGCGACACCAACCAAGGGAGGGCGCGACACCAACCAAGGGAGGGGGCGAGACCAACCAAGGGAGGGCGCGACACCAACCAAGGGAGGGCGCGACACCAACCAAGGGAGGGCGCGACACCAACCAAGGGAGGGCGCGAGACCAACCAAGGCCGGGGGCGAGACCAACCAAAGGAGGGGGTGAGACCAACCAAGGCCGGGGGCGAGACCAACCAAAGGAGGGGGCGAGACCAACCAAGGCCGGGGGCAAGACGAACCAAGGCCGAGGGCGAGACCAACCAAGGCCGGGGGCGAGACCAACCAAGGCCGGGGGCGAGACCAACCAAGGGAGGGGGCGAGACCAACCAAGGCCAGACGGTGCCTCCTTGGGGCTGAGGCCACCCCCAGGGCCCAGCACGCTGAGAAACTGATGCCAGGCCCTGCTTCTGCACCAAGCTCTGAAGGTGCACTATGAATGAACAATATAACTTCTCCAGATTCTGTGAGTTTTATCAATACAAATTTTTCTTCAAATTTTTCTTAAATCTTAAAAGAAAAACGCAAATCTAACCTACCTGATACTCCAATTGCCTTTCTCTACATGGCACACTCCCGCTTCTCCCCAGCCCACTTCGCCCCAGGCAGGAGGGGTCCAGACTCCCTGTCTTTCCCATAGGGTCTTTGCTTGCAGAATTCTATGTGGATTTTGGCTCCCGCAGAGAGTTTGTTGCTAAACTGCTCTGAAGATGGAGTGGAGATCTCGTAGGAACCTCCCCCTCTCTTCTCAGGACTGGGGCTGCCAGCGGACCAAGGCCTTCTGTGCCCAACCCACACGGCAGTGGCAGTGGCTTTCCTCCCTAGATTCATCCAAACCCCTCACGGGCTGTGCCCATGGTGGGCGTAGCAGCCAGAGGGGTCAGGCAGGGACTGGTCATGGAGCCTGCTTGGAGAAGAGTGCTTAGTGGGGGCTTCCAGCTCCATGGGACTCCTGAGAAAGAAGGGCCTGTGGGGACCAGGGTCAAGGCACCCATGGCCACTCTAGAGGGACTGCGGCCCGTGCAGGCGCAATGGCCACTCCAGAGGGACTGCGGCCCGTGCAGGCGCCATGGCCACTCCAGAGGGACTGCGGCCCGTGCAGGCGCCATGGCCACTCCAGAGGGACTGCGGCCCGTGCAGGCGCCATGGCCACTCCAGAGGGACTGCGGCCCATGCAGGCGCGACGGCCTCTAGAGGGACTGTGGCATGTGCAGGCGCCATGGCCACTCCAGAGGGACTGCGGCCCGTGCAGGCGCCATGGCCACTCCAGAGGGACTGCGGCCCGTGCAGGCGCGATGGCCACTCCAGAGGGACTGTGGCCCGTGCAGGCGCGGTGGCCACTCCAGAGGTACTGCGGCATGTGCAGGCGCCGTGGCCACTCCAGAGGGACTGCGGCATGTGCAGGCGCCGTGGCCACTCCAGAGGGACTGCGGCCCGTGCAGGCGCCGTGGCCACTCCAGAGGGACTGCGGCCCGTGCAGGCGCGACGGCCACTCCAGAGGGACTGCGGCATGTGCAGGCGCAATGGCGCAAAACAGAGCCTGGGACGACAGACAGCTCCACAAGGGCCGGCACCAACATGGAGCCCTGGGGGCCTCGGCCTAAACAACTCCAAACACAGGGGCTTGGGGTTTGTTAGGTACAGGTGCTGGGATTAGAAAACAAGCAAGCGAAGCAAAATCCCCGCGGCCCTGGACATACCACGTGAGCCCTCCCTTTGCAGGTCCCCACCTCTGACGCATGGCGCTGCAGACAGCCCTCGCCCCATCACAGGGCTCTCAAAAGGATCAAATGAAAGGAGGAGGTCTCTCCACCGCATATGTGCCATAGACACTCAGTATCGAAGCCAAATGCAGAGTCGCCGTCCGCGGAACCGCCCGGTGCAGGGTCTGCGCCACCCAAACGTCAGGCCCCACACGGTCAGCACCTGGGGGCTGTCCGGGAGGAGCGCGTCTGCTCCCGGGGCGGGAGCCCCTTGGTCCGTCCTTTACTCCGCCACGGAGCCCCAGCCGAGCAATGGGTGGAGAATGCTGTGCCCACAGCCGCCCCGGGCGGCGGGTAACAATAGCCTATGCCGCACACACTCCAGCCACCTCCGCCCCGAACGCGTACGTGCCCTCTCCGTGCCTAACCATTTACGGGGTGTCACACACACAAGGCCAGGTCACTGGCAGCACGTTTTGAAGAACAGCAGTAGTAGCGAAAAACACTCAGACACACAGCTTAGAAAGTTAGCATCACTTCCGGGAGGCCGAAGACAACGTGGCTGCCGAGCTGATGTCTCCCAGCCTCTCTTCCAAACACAGTTCAGCACAAGCAAGGAACGCAGGTTTACACCAGCATCGCCGTCTGCACTGGACGAGGGCGCCTAGACTTCAAAATCACTGCAAGTCGGCGCAGAGTCAACACACGCCTGAGCCTGACCCCCCAGTCTCTCCCCTGCAAGGCCGCGGTGGGGCGGGGTGGGACAGGGGTCTGTGGGAAGCCACTGCTGAAAGGCTAAGCCACCCCAAGTCCCAGGGCCTGAGAGGTGTCCAGGAAGGTCAGTGCAGACCACAGGGCAGGGACCACTGAGCACAAGACGGGAAGGGGTTGTCAAGGCAACACAGCATGTCCTGAGAGGAGCCCTTTGGCCACTGGGTGGTGAGGCAGAAAAGAAGGAAAGGGGGAAGTTCTGGGTCCTGCAGGAAAGGGCCGGGAGAACTGGAGGACAACTTCCGTCCTGCACACCAGCAAGGACCCGCTCAAGACCTGGACTTCCCCATGTGGCCAGCAGACGGCACCAGGAAACCACAGATGTGGCAAATACCCCAAGGCCACCAGGGCAAAGGGACAGAGGCGGTAAAGCCACCCAGAGCCACGGGAAAGTCAGAGAAGAGTCAAAAAATGGGGGCTCCACACACATCAGAGAAAAACCTACCCTGGAACAACAAGAAAATTAACAACACTCTCAATACAGGAAAATCTGCTTAAGTGTGCACTTAAGGATATGAAAATCATCACCTCAAATCAGAACCTCAAAAACTAGGAGACAAATTTTTATAAAAACCATAAAATTACAAATGCAACACCAAAAGGAAATAAGAGTTGACTGGACTTAAGAAAGTAATGGAAGGAAGAGACAAAATTATCTCAGAAATGAATAAACTGCAAACAGTCTGAGGGAGGGGAGGCGGTGAAAATGCAGTAAGGAACCTACGAAAGGCAGGAAGCCAAGAGGACAGAATCGAGACACAGAAAGGAGGAAAAGGGTCAGGAGAAAACAGGGCAAATGAGAGCTGGGCGAATCTCCCCCTCAGGCAGAGTGGGACATTCACACCATGACCCAGGAGACGTTCACAAAAGACAGCAAACCACACCCCACCCGAGAGGAGACACCAAACCCACACCCACCCGAGAGGAGACACCAAACCCACACAACCCACACCCACCGGAGAGGAGACATCAAACCCACACCCACCCGAGAGGAGACACCAAACTCACACCCCACCCGAGAGGAGACATCAAACCCACACCCCACCCGATAGGAGACACCAAACCCACACAACCCACACCCACCGGAGAGGAGACATCAAACCCACACCCACCCGAGAGGAGACACCAAACTCACACCCCACCCGAGAGGAGACATCAAACCCACACCCCACCCAAGAGGAGACACCAAACCCACACCCCACCCGAGAGGAGACACCAAACCCACACAACACACACCCACCGGAGAGGAGACATCAAACCCATACCCACCCTAGAAGAGACACCAAACTCACACCCCACCCGAGAGGAGACACCAAACCCACACCCCACCCGAGAGGAGACACCAAACCCACACCCACTGAGAGGAAACACCAAACCCACACCTACCTGAGAGGAAACACCAAACCCACACCCCACCAGAGAGGAGACACCAAAACCCACACCCCATCCGAGGAAACACCAAACCCACACCCACCCTAGAGGAGACACCAAACCCATACCCACCCGGAAGAGACACCAAAACCCACACAACCTACACCCACCCAAGAGGAGACACCAAAACCCACACCCACCCAAGAGGAAACACCAAACCCACACCCCACCCAAGAGGAGACACCAAAACCCACACCCACCTGAGAAGAAACACCAAACCCACATCCACCCGAGAGGAGACAACAAACCCACACCCCACCCGAGAGGAGACACCAAACCCACACCCCACCCGAGAGGAGACACCAAACCCACACCCACCCGAGAGGAGACACCAAACCCACACCCACCCGAGAGGAGACACCAAACCCACACCCCACCTGAGAGGAGACACCAAACCCACACCCCACCCGAGAGGAGACACCAAACCCAATGCACTGCGAGGGCCCAGTGGGCGGCGGGACTCTGAGATGCAACCTCATACACTACGGGCTCTCAGAGCCGACGGCAGGGCTGCCGGGGAGGAAGAGAAGAGAACCCATGAAGGGGAAGGAATCAGCCTCCATGGCTCCTCCCAGCCTGCACCCCCCTCCCCACCCGTCCCCCACAAGGCAAGAACAGAAAAGACTTCTGAGCCAGCCAAGCCGCCTCCGGTCAGGGCCCAGAAACAGCCTCAGGAATGGGAGGAAGAGCCTCCTCTATTGGGCGGGAAACTGCAGGGAAGAGACATCCTCAGGCTCTGAGTGAGGCGGAGGCGGGAGAGGGAGGCTGAGGACCAGAGTGTGCCTCCCCTGTGGAGGTCCTGTCACCAAAAGGCAGAGGAAGAAGCCACTAGGGCTCACAGACGCCGATGGCCAACAGTGGAGCTGCCAGGCCCGTGCAAACTGCTCGACTGCAGCGTGAACAGTCCTGTGAGACAGGAGACCAGGGCGTCGTCACTAGTTTAAGTACAAAAGTAACCAGGAAGACACAGATACAAACCTTCCTAAATACAAAAAAAAAAAAAAAATCAATTAAAAGAGCAAAGAATAAACATCTCACAGAAAAAGAAACACAGCAAATATTTAAAATTCAGGCCAGGTACGGCAACTCACACCTGTAATCTCAATGCTTTGAAAAGGGAGGCCAAGGCAGGAGGATTCCCTGAGGCTGGGAGTTTAAGACCAGCCTGGGCAACATAACGAGACCCCATTCCTACAAAATATTTTAAAAATTAGTCAGATGCGGTGCTGTGTGCCTGTAGTCCCAGGCTACTGGGGCGGCTGAGGCAGGAGGATCCTTCTTAAGCCCAGAAAGTCAAAGTTGCAGTGAGCTATGATCACGCCACCAAACTCCAGCCTGGGTGACAGTGAAACCATGTCTCAAAAGATAGATAAAAATTTACATAATTATAAAATATTATGATAGAGTCAAGACAAAACATGTCAGTCCTATCAATAAAGGTAAATGGGCTTAACTCACCTATTAAAAGAGAAAGATTTTCAATTCAGCTCATAAACTGAGACCAAACCATATGCTACAGAGAGACACGGAAAACAAAGTGATTCAGAAGGTGAAAAGTAAGGATCTCAGGGATTGTAGGCTGGGGGACAAGAAAGACACCCAGGGTGACGGTCTGACGTGTGACAAAGACAGATACTTTCTAATGCAAAAAGTCACAGCTGCCAATGAAGATATGACACGTGGATATTTATGCACCAAACAACACAGCAGCCCCTACCAATAAAAACGCAGGAGATGCGACGAGACAGAAACATGCTAGCAGCAGTCATGGAACAGCATGCCTGCCGCAGAACAGGTCAAGTGGACAAAACTAAGCCAGCAGCCGGAAGACTGAGCGACCTCATCACTGAGGAGCGGCTCGGGGATGTCCACCCGCTCATCACGTGCCTCAGCCCTACGCACCCACAGCACACCCACAGACGCTGACTGCACCACCCAGACCAGCAAACACAAGAACTATGACAACACACGTGGGACACGTGTGAGGCTGGGGAAAGAGCTGCCTCTCTCACACGCAACAGGGGGACTTGGCAAAACCTAACACAAGTGCACACGCACCAACCCCTCAATTCAGCAATCCCATCTCTCGGAACTCAGCCCCAACAGCAGGCCTCCAACAGCACGAAGACACACGTACAAGGCGACTCTTGATGGCATCACCTGTCACCGTGTCGACAGCCCAGATGTGCACACGAGAGAGGGTGAAAAGCTACGGGACATCAGCAGGATGAAGTGCCACCCAGCTGGGAAAGAGGAAGCTCCTGATGCAGTGACACGAGGGCAGTGCCCGGGACATCAGCACGATGAAGTGCCACCCAGCTGGGAAAGAGGAAGCTCCTGATGCAGTGACACGAGGGCAGTGCCCGGGACATCAGCACCCAGCTGGGAAAGAGGAAGCTCCTGATGCAGTGACACGAGGGCAGTGCCCGGGAACTCTGTCAGCTGCAGAGAGCGAGAGACTGTCACTGACCTGTGCTGCACTGCCAGGGAAGGAAAAAGATGCAGGAGCTCATCTGTTTGCATGGTGAGTAGAAACGGGATGCAAAAATGGAGGGACGGGGACAGGGCAGGAGGAGGGAAGGTGCAGCAGGACTAGGGAGGGTGCAGCAGGAGGAGGGCGAGCAAGGTGGGAGGAGGGCAGGGGTGGCGGGGGTGGGAGGGGGCGGAAGGGGGAGGACGGATGTGGTGGGGGGAGGGAGGGCGCAGCAGGAGGACGGGGCAGGGGGTGGGAGGATGGGTGGAGGGTGTGGCAGGACACCACTCCAAGGGGCACTTCTTTCTATACGTTTTTGTACAGTTCTGACTCTCCGGACCATGGCAACGCTCCACCTCTCACAAACAAAAAATCAACCAAGATTTGGAGGAAACCAACAGGAACACAAACAGTAACCACTAAACCCGAGCTGTCCTGCAGGTGAGTGACGGCCACACTGAGGGACTAAACCCGAGCTGTGCTGCAGGTGAATGACGGCCACACTGAAGGGTGGGCAGGAAGCCAGGCCTGGTTGTGTGTGCCTGCAGTCCCAACTCCTGGTGGGGGCTGAGGCAGGAGGATTGCTGGAGTCTAGGAGCCTCAGGCCAGCCCAGGACACAGAGCAAGACTCCATCTCTAAAAACAAATAATAAAAATTTAAACATAAAAAGTAAAAATGAAAGGATAAACAAGAACAATACTCATCTATGTAAATTTGAAATGTACTATTTTGACCTGTGAGGTTAAATAAAAGGGCCGCACAGAAATGCTACACTCCAGGTAGTTAGCACGTTTGTTTCTCACACTGCCTGGCAATCCCGAAGGTCCTTTATCTGTATGTTGGAACTGAACACAGAAGTACATCTACTGTGGGGGATGAGAACCAGGTTCCCATGTAAGGCACGAGGGAAGCTAGAATGAGCCTGTGACGTCAGACTAGATCCTGAGGCCTGAGGAGAAGTGAGAAGGCCGCTGTGTTCAGCACAGGTGCAGGTGCAGACGAGTGTTTGTGTGTGTGCACATGCCCCAGTCCACCTGGAAGGCCTGGATGCAGGGACACCCCAGGAGCAATGAGCACACCTGCTGCCCAGAGTATGGTTCTAAACACCATCCCCGACCAAAGGAACCACCATCCCCGACCAAAGGAAGCACCATCCCCGACCAAAGGAACCACCATCCCCGACCAAAGGAAGCACCATCCCCAATCAAAGGAAATACCATCCCCAACCAAAGGAAACACCATCCCCCATCAAAGGAAACACCATCCCCCATCAAAGGAAACACCATCCCCAATCAAAGGAAACACCATCCCCCATCAAAGGAAACACCATCCCCAACCAAAGGAAACACCATCCCCAATCAAAGGAAACACCATCCCCCATCAAAGGAAACACCATCCCCCATCAAAGGAAACACCATCCCCCATCAAAGGAAACACCATCCCCAATCAAAGGAAACACCATCCCCAACCAAAGGAAACACCATCCCCAACCAAAGGAAACACCATCCCCCATCAAAGGAAACACCATCCCCCATCAAAGGAAACACCATCCCCCATCAAAGGAAACACCATCCCCAATCAAAGGAAACACCATCCCCAATCAAAGGAAACACCATCCCCAATCAAAGGAAACACCATCCCCAACCAAAGGAAACACCATCCCCAATCAAAGGAAACACCATCCCCAATCAAAGGAAACACCATCCCCAATCAAAGGAAACACCATTCCCAACCAAAGGAAACACCATCCCCCATCAAAGGAAACACCATCCCCAGTCAAAGGAAGCAATGCCCCTCCAAGAAATCATGGAAAACAGAAGATGTGCTGGAACATTCTGTGGTGTCATAAAGTCACCAAATCCTCTTGTCGTGTCACAAGGACATGGAACTAACCTGAAGGAGCTCATGATGGCCAGAGCCGGGCTGCTCAAGCAACAAAATAAATAAACTGTAGCAGCAGCTTGTTACCTACAGAAAAAAATAAATATCCATGCTAATATAAGTAAGTAACTGAATGAATTAACAAGTGGGAAAAATAAGGGAGACGGGGCAGCTCTCTTTACAGAATTCCAATTAATAAATGTAAACAGAAAGACAGAAATAGAAAGTCAGCATCAGACGCCACAGCAGCCTCCACTGGCAGCGTCCTTGCGAATGCCCACGCAGGGGCCAAAGGCCTGATAAGAAATGGTATCAGCAGCCTCCAAGTGTCTCCTTGAGATACCTACTAATTACACAGAGAAAAAGAGTAACTCGACAATGGAGTAACCAGCCAACCCCACCTTAACCAAGCTTCAAAGTCAGCAGCAGCAGCAGCAACAGCCAGGCGACACCACCTGCCTCCCAATCCAGTGCTCTGAGGACACGCCAGCCGGCCCGCGGCATTCTAACTGAGATTCTACAGCCTGGACGTCATCACGAGGAGACACCAGACAAACGCAAACTAAGGAAACGTCCACCAGACAAGGACCAGAGCTCTCCAGCACGTCAAGGCCATCAAAGACCAGGAAAGACTGAGCAGCTACCACCAAGCAGAGGAGACCAAGGAGCCGAGGAGCCGCGAGGGTCCCGGGGCAGGAAAGGACGTCGAGGACACTGGTAAGAATCGAATAAGGAGAAAATATTTGCAAAAGACACATCTGATAATGGACTATTATCCAAAATATACCAAGAACTCCTGAAACTCAACAATATCAACAATAAGCTGCTCCGCATCCTCCGTCACCAGGGAGATGCAAATTAAAACAAGATGCACACACCTACTAGAGCGGCCAAAACCCAGAACACGGACAGCACCGAACGCTGGCGAGGATGTGAAGAAACAGGACCCTCAGCCGTGGCTGCTGGGAAGGCAACATGGCGCGGCTGCTGGAAGACAGTCTGGCGGTTTCTTACAAAACTAAACGTGCTCTTACCACACGGTCCAGCAATCGTGCTCCTTGGTATTTACCCAAAGGGGCTGAAAATTTATGTCCACACGAAATCCTGCGCACAGATGTTTATACCAGCTTTCTTCATAATTGCCAAAACTTGCAAGCAGCCACGATGTGCTTCAGTAGGTGAGTGGATAAAATAAACTGTGGCACAGCCACACACTGGAATAGTGCTCAGTGCTGAAAAGAAATGAGCCATCAAGCCATGAAAAAACACGGAGGAACCTCAGGTGGATATTCCTAAATGAGAGAAGCCAGTTTGAGAAGGCTGCATAATTTCAACCACATGATATTCTGGAAAAGGCGAAACTAGGAGACAATAAGATCCGTGGACCAGGGACTGACAGGAGGGGAGGGATGAACGGGCAGAGCACAGAGGAATTCAGGGCTGTGGAACGACTCCACATGATACGGTACTGGTGGAAACACGTCATTCTACAGCTGTCAAAACCCACAGAATGTACACACCAAGAGTGCACCCTGATGGGAACTATGGAAGCTGGGTGAGAAGGACGTGTTGACGTGGGTTCATGGATTCTAACAAACGCACCACCCGGCCAAGCGGGGGAGGCTGTGCACCTGCAGGGAGGAGGGTATGGGAAGTCTCTGTACTAAAAAAGTCCCCTCCTTTTTCCGTGAACCTAAAACTGCTCTAAAAAATAGTTTATTAATTTATTTAAAGTTAAATTAAGGGAAAAAATCAAATAAGGTCTTCAATGAACAGTATCATACCCACGTTTAACATGAGGCTAAACTGGGTGAGGGGTAGATGGAAACTCTCTGTACTATTTCTGTAACTTTCCTGTAAGTATAGAATTCAAAAGTAAAAGTTAAAAAAAGAAGACTTACCCTTAAGAGGTATCCTACAAGAAGAAAAGAATGACTGAGCATCATCTTTGATGAAGAAAGGTGTCTGAAGGACTTTTACTTTCTGGGTTTTGTGTGAATTGTTACACAGATAACACACAAAGATCCCCAAAGTTCACAAAAGGCAAGCGAAACAACTGCGAAACAACTGCTCCCCAAACAGACGCCGGCGCCAATCTTCACCCACTCGGCAGTGCCTCACCTGGGTCCTCCAGGTCCGGCGTTCTCGATACTCCACGTACCTCCCAGCCCCACACCCCGGCCCTTCTCATGAGTGAGGACGCACGAGCTCCCTTACTCTTCCCTAGAGGCTACTCCACACACGTTAACACTCACATCCAAAGTTCATCAATGTGCCTTTCCCATCCAATCCTCCCTCCTGGCGCCGCGACCCCAGCAGGTAAAATGGTTGGGAAGCTGGTTACACGGAAGAAAAAAACAAATACACTGAATGATGGGAACCAGGTTCCTCACTGTCTGAGAAGGGACCAATAGACAAGGATGGGGGCGGCTAAACGGAAGCCCTGGCGTGCTAGGCAAGGACCGTAGTCTCAACACGAACACACAGGACCCCTTCGACATGGAAGGGCGCACACCACACACTCCCCTACATGCATTTGGGTCCCGAGCTCTGGCTGCTGGCACGGCCTGGGAGCAGGGGCCCCAGCAATCAGCACACCAAGTGCCCCGATCCTGGCCTCTCAACACCAGACTCTACTAGAGGAACCAGGGGAAGCTGCAGAGTGGGCAGGGAAAGTGCACGTGGCAATAAGGAATGCCACAGACGAGGGAAGTGTCAAAGGATACAGACTCCAGCCACAAGAAGCTCCCACCAAGCAAGCCTAGAAATAATGAGAGTGCTGATCAGAGCCCACCAAACACAACAGGGGTCCCGGCACCCACAGCACTGCAGTGAGTGAGTGAATGAGGGATCCCGGCACCCACAGCACTGCAGTGAGTGAGTGAATGAGGGATCCCGGCACCCACAGCACTGCAGTGAGTGAGTGAATGAGGGATCCCGGCACCCACAGCACTGCAGTGAGTGAGTGAATGAGGGATCCCGGCACCCACAGCACTGCAGTGAGTGAGTGAATGAGGGATCCCGGCACCCACAGCACTGCAGTGAGTGAGTGAATGAGGGATCCCGGCACCCACAGCACTGCAGTGAGTGAGTGAATGAGGGACCCTGGCATCCACAGCACTGCAGTGAGTGAACGAATCCATGAGCGAACGAATAAACCAACGAGGAGGGGCGAAGCTCTGCTTCCCAGCAGAGGGCAACCAGCAGTAACAGAAGGGGTGCCTGAAGCATCCCCACGACTGAGCAGCCCCAGGGGTGGCGACACAGGCAGGCGGTTAATAACATTGAGGCTGTGGGTGGAGGTGCGATAAGGGTGGGGCATCTGTGTGAGGTGGGAACGTGTGAAATGCTAACACGGCCATGGGAATCGGCCACGACGCTGTGGAGAAACACAGCCCACAGCAAGTGCTATGCTGGGGGTGGTAGCATCAGTGCTAAGCACCTGACCAGGAGGGCTGCCTAGTAGCCACCTAAGGTATCAGCCGCACGAGCATTTAGGGTGCTGGGTATCGTGTCAGAACAAGGATTAAAGTGTACATATTGAAAAAGTACAGGAGTGCACGCAAACACATGTGGTGTAGCGGGGACGAAGCAGACAGCGTGATGCTCATACACCGGAGTCTGCACGGAGCTCCTTACTCTGTTCTTGCAACTTTTCTGTAGATTTGAAAACTACTTCAAACTAAAATAAGTAATTTTCAAAGTTAATGTATTCTGGAAGACGATGACAGGGGTAGCATAGTTTCTGGATCTTCCCAAAGTTCCACATAAAAGAGCAACGACACAGCAAAACCAAAAGCCAGCGGACAATCTTTAGAACAAAACTGATGAAGATGAACCACAAGCAGCCATCACCTGAAGGACGCTGCAGAACTGGACCCCGACGGGCCTGGACCCAGGAGCCAGCAGACTTCCTGGGAAGAGCAGCAGGTCCCTCCAAGAGCCGCAGTCAAACCTGGGGCAGGGGAGGACCAGGGAGGGCAGCCTGGCCACCGCAAATGCCCACACTGACCTGCCAGGGCTCCTGCAGCACAGGGCCTCACGCAGGAGAGAACCTGCTGGGAGTGAATCAGTACTGAGCAGGACAGGGACAAGGAAGGCAAAGCAAAGTCCAGATGCTTGGGAGGTGCACAGAGCCCCGGAGCCACAGACGCTGAGGACTCCCGTTCTTAACATCACGGGAAAGTAACCACAGAGGAGCACCACAAAGTCAGCAAACGCTGCAAACCACGTGTCCTGTTACAAGTTCGAGAAACCTAAACTCACGTCGAAATTAGCAACAGAAAGACATTCAGGTCAAATCCCAGACAGGCTCCCATGAGAGAAAAAGAGGATAAAAAGCAGAAGAGCATCCCTACAGACCACAGAAGACCTCAGAAACACATACTCAAAACAGCAGGTAAACAGCAAATCACGCCTTAAGAGAAATGGAAGCCAAAAAGGACAAAAAAGATAATTTTTTAAAAAAGAGAAAAATTAGGCCAGGCACAATGGCTCACACCTGTAATCCCAGCACTTTGGGAGGCTGAGACGGGCAAATCACTTGAGGTCTGGAGTTTGAGACCAGCCTGGCCAACATGGTGAAACCCTGTCTCTACTAAAAATACAAAAAAATTAGCTGGGTGTGGTGGTGCACACCTGTAATCCCAGCTACTCAGGAGGCTGAGGCAGAAGAAAACCAGGAGGCAGAGGTTGCCATGAGCTGAGATCACACCGAGATAGAGCCACTGCACTCCAGCCTGGGTGACAGAGGGAGACTCTGTCTCAAAAAATAAAAATTAAAAAAAAAGAGAGAGAGAAATTAGGCTGGACACAAGTGGCTCAGCAGCATTTAGGGAGGCCAATGTGGGAGGACTGCTTGAACCCTGGAGGTCGAGGCTGCAGTGAGCTGTGATCACACCACTGCACTCCAGCATGGGTGAGAGAGACCCTGTCTCTAAAAAACCAAAAAACAAAAAAAAAGAGAGAGAGAGATTTTAAAAATTAAGAGACTGTAAAAAGTGCTCCAGCAGGCAAAGAAGATACAACACGTGGAAAATGGGACTCTCTGAAGAAAGAAACAAAAGAACAGAACAAACACAAAGGATCATTATTGCAGATGTTCCTAAGGAGACTTGAACCGCACTGAAAGAACACAGCCAGTACTGAGAACACCACCCCAGCACAACCAAGCCCAGCACGCACTCCAGTGGGATGAGCCGGCTTCCGAGAAAAAGGACACCCAGGGAAGAAAAACACGTGGCCTACAGGAGGTAAAATGAGGCTCTCATTAGATTTGGACAGTAACACTTTAGGGAGGAAATAATCCAGAGTAACATCCTTAAGACACTTCAGTAAATACAACGTGAGCCAAAAAACAGACCTTCAGGTACAAAGGGCACAAACTCATCAGCAGGTGGGAACTTGGGAGTGGCTGCTCCCATGAAGCGTTCCAAAAGAATCTAGCAGAGAATGAGATTTGGAAAAATCAAAATGACTACAGAGACACAACATAAAGACGAGTCACGGCATTAAACATGTCATTATTTATGGCACTAAAACTCAAAGAGGGCGAAAGGGAGAGCTTATGGTGTGTAACAGCTAAATGTTTCGACAACATAAATACAGCACAAAATACAAAACGGGGCCAAGGGAGAAAGCACATGAACAACTTTCGGCTGTTTTCACCACCCTCGGCAGGAGTGCCCATATTCTTATTCTCAGGCTATGTCCAAAGGTAGGAGATATTTTAATTCTATTATCTCCTATGTCCATAACCAGGATCCTTTTATTTTAATCTCTCCTTCTCCTGCCCTCCCCTCCAATTCCCCACCCCCCAAGCCCTTGGGGCAGCCAAGAGCCAGAATTCTTACTGTGAAGATAAAGACGTCATTTTGAACATGGTAACTCCTACACCTCTGAATTTGAACTACCTGAATTGGAAATACCCATATAAGCCCATGAGACCATGTTTTACACACATTTCCCAGTGCTGTCCACTGAAAAGGCCAACCCACCCCAGCAGCAATGACATCCCTAGTCCCAGCGAGTGGTCTTCAAACGCCATTTCCCACTAGAAGAAACCAGTTCTTGGAGAAATGACTTTTTCGGTCTGAAACAGGAAAGGTGTAAGGTGAGCCTGACACATGTTAACGTCCAGACGGCAAGGACATCAGCCCCACGTCCCAGCGTGACTCAGGAACCAACCTGGAGATGCTTCCATTGGCCAAAGATGGCACAGTCTGAACTGCAACCAAAATGAGAACTGTAATAGATGGATTATGTGCAAGTCCTTGAGATCACAACGGTAAAAAATAAAAACAACACACTAAAACGTAAAACTACTGGTCACCCTCTGAGGGTGACAACCTGTTGATCCATTATCTTCACCTGGATATATGGAAGAAAACATGCTCGCGTTTACCCTGCGTCTCCTCTATGAGCTGGACCCACCAAGCGGCCAAACAGTAGTGGAGGAAGAGTCTCCAAAAGAACACCCCAAAGAGGAAGTGAGAAGGAACTCACAGACTAAGAGCACCGCCATCTCCAACCTCAAGGGACTAGTGGCCCTAGGCATGAAGCATGACCAGCCACCGTCCCCGGGGCGCACAGCCCAGACCCGTGTCCTCGCAATGAGGGGACACAAGAGCAGCCAGCGTCCTGCCGCAGGGAGGCAGCCAGAGTTGGAGGAGTCTCTGGGTCCAGCCACCAACGCGCAGGAAGTTCAGAGGAGGGAGGAACAGGCAGAACTGCACCACAAGGGCACCGCCAGCAATCCTGACGCAGGACACACCCCAGGCCAAACGACCTGGTCCTTCAACCGACAAGTTGTAAGAAAAAGAAAGTGATGGAGGGGTGGGAGGGCCCTACAGATTTTTAAAAATGTTAAATTCTGGTTTCCTTTTAAGTCAAGTTTAATGGGAAAGGACGGCAAGGCTAACCAGTGTCTCGCTGCACAACTGGGGACTGGCAGGTCCTGGCGTTTCTTCCTGGCTTTGCCATAAAGTCAGGGCAGCAGTTACTTTTGGAGGGAGGTAAAAGCAGCTGTGATGTGGTGGGGCACATAAAAGGGTGGGGGATCTCCCAGGTGACTGGCATGTTCTAGTTTGGTTTTTTTGTTTGTTTTTTGTTTTTGAGATGGAGTCTCGCTCTGTCACCCAGGCTAGAGTGCAGTGGCACAATCTCAGCTCACTGCAACCTCCGCCTCCAGGGTTCAAGTGATTCTCCTGCCTCAGCCTCCCGAGTAGCTGGAAATACAGGTGCCTACCACCACGCCCGGCTAAATTTTGTGTTTTTAGTAGAGACAGGGTTTCACCATCTTGGCCAGGCTGGTCTCGAACTCCTGACCTCATGATCCACCCGCCTCGGCCTCCCAAAGTGCTGGGATTACAACGTTCTAGTTCTCGAACTGATGATGGGCTACAAAATCTATGCCTTTGAGAATTCAGTTAACCATAAAAGAAATCCAGGAAAAAAAAAAAAGGCTAATCAATATCTTTCACCTCCCCCACAAAAAAGTAAGTCCTTAACTCTAAGTGCTCTTCTCGATATATGTTGTTGTTGTTCAGAATTTCAGTTCTTTCTTGGTATACAACTACATTTTCAGCGTGGGCTGCGGGCCTCACAGCCAGTGGGCACTCAGGCCTAGGCCCAGGTGAGTGCAGGTTCCTGCTGGGGCCCATCCCGGGCCAAGACTCCCAGCCACACAGTGGCCAGAGCCCGTGTTAGCCTTGGGAATCTGTACTTACTTACTTATTTCTGGCCCAGAGAAGAATCCCCCTATTTTATCTATATCTCACACACGCATTTATAAAGACAAGATCTTTATTTTCTTCCTACATTGTACCAGACATTTTAACCTGTACTGTCCCAGGAGGGATTTCTCTGAACCTCTGGGATGCCATATTGCCAAAACTCTAGTGTCTGTTACACCTGGAGTCCCTCCTCTCCACACCAGGCAGCCATTTCTCAGAGGTCACTGCTAGCATGTGGGCAGGCGAGCCCCAGCACGGAGGTCTGGGACATCCCACCCACACATTTCCAACAGTCCTGGTGGGGAGGGGGAGCTCTGTCCTCATCAGGTCACTACCCTGACCCTGTCCCAGAGTGCACCTGCATACCAAGAAGCGGTGCAAGACCAGCCAATGTGCATCAGACAGCAGCTGCCACGGGGCTGAGAGCGAAACAGAGAAGTCAGGGGTCGGGCAGAGTAGAGGGCAGTCCAGAAGCATGGGAGTCCAGCCTGCCCGAGTAACAAGACCTTTCCTTGTACGTAAGGATCACACCCTAGAGTAAGACCTACCTTAGCAAAGCCTAAAGCCAAACCCAGACAGGAAAGACAGAGTTTGCAACTTGAGTCCCACTAAGTTAAAGGGGCTTGAGAAACACCTTGAGGTTTCCCCAGATCCTTACTGACAAAATGAAAAACAAAACCACACAAACTCAAGATGGTCAGCCAGTAACTCAACCGCCTGCAAGAATCAACTCTTCAAGGGAGATCACAGAGTCCAGTCTCTTGGCAGGTAAGCATGAGACATGCAAGGAGACAAGAAAGTGTGCAAGGCCGAGGAAAACAGCAGTCGAGAGAAACTGAATGTGAGATGGCCCAGGTGTTGAACTTGACAAAAACCTTATAAAACAGCTTTAATAATAAGCTCAAAGAATTAGGGGAAATATAAACTGTAAAAAAGAACTAGATGGAAATCTTAGAATTGCAAAATAAGTTAACAAAATGGAAACTTCAACTGGAGATGGCAGAAATCCATCTGCCAAGGACCTCGTAGACACATCAGTAGACATCTTCCAGTCTGGAAAACAAAGAGAAGACAGACTGAAGTCCAGGAACACAGGCTCAAAGACCTGCAGGGCAGCATCAACAGGTCTAACATACATGTAACTGGAGCCCCAGCAGAAGAAAGTAAGATTGAAATGGAAAAAAAAATTTGAGCCGGGCGCGGTGGCTCACGCCTGTAATCCCAGCACTTTGGGAGGCCGAGGCGGGTGGATCATGAGGTCAGGAGATCGAGACCATCCTGGCTAACAAGGTGAAACCCCGTCTCTACTAAAAATACAAAAAATTAGCCGGGCGCGGTGGCGGGCGCCTGTAGTCCCAGCTACTGGGGAGGCTGAGGCAGGAGAATGGCGTGAACCCGGGAAGCGGAGCTTGCAGTGAGCCGAGATTGCGCCACTGCAGTCCGCAGTCCGGCCTGGGCGACAGAGCGAGACTCCGTCTCAAAAAAAAAAAAAAAAAAAAAAAAAAATTTGAAGAAGTATTAGCCAAAATGTTCCAAATTTGATGAAAGACACTGACCTACAGATCTGTGAAGTTCAGAGAACCTGAAACAGGCTGAATATCCTGAGAACCACAGCAAAACACAACACAGACAAACCTCTAAACTGAATATCCAGAGAACCACAGCAAAACACAACACAGACAAACCTCTAAAAAATAAAGAACATCTCAAAACAAAGATTGAAAGTCATGCCAGAGACATGAAGCATACCACGTACAGGGAACAAGCTTAAAAATTATAGCAGGACCAGCCCATGCTACATGGTGAGACCCTGTCTCTACGAAAAAAAAAGAAACTACAAAATTAGCCAGGCATGGTGGCACGCACCTGTAGTCCCAGCTACTCGGGAAGCTGAGGCAGGAGGATCACCTGAGCCCGGGGATGTCGAGGCTACAGTGAGCCATGATCGTACCACTGCACTCCAGCCTAGGTGACACAGTGAGACCCTGCGTCTAAAAAAATTAAAAATTAAAAATTACAGCAGGACATCAGAAGACAGTGGAACAAGGTCTTGAAAGTTTCGCAAGAAAGAAAAAATCAGCCCAGAATTTTGTAACCAGTAAAAATATCCTCTGAAAATGAGGGTGAAGGCCAGGCGTGGTGGCTCATGCCTGTAATCCCAGCACTTTGGGAGGCCGAGGTGGGCAGATCATGAGATCAAGAGATCGAGACCATCCTGGCCAACATGGTGAAACCCCGTCTCTCCTAAAAATACAGAAATTAGCAGGGCGTGGTGGCACACGTCTATAGTCCCAGCTACTCGGGAGGCTGAGGCAGGAGAACTGCTTGAACCTGGCAGGCGGAGGTTGCAGTGAGCCAACATCACGCCACTGCGCTCCCACCTGGCGACAGAGCAAGACTGTCTCAAAAAAAAAAAAAAAAAAGAGAATGAGGGTGAAATACAATTTTTCAAGTAAACAAAACCAGAGAATCCATCACCAGTAGATCTGCACCACAAGAAATCCCAACAGCTCTCCTTCAAGCCAAAAGGAAATGGTGGCAGACGGAAACAGACCCACGGGAAGGAATGAAGAGTACCGGAGATGGCAAATAAGGAGGGAAACATAAAAGACCGTTTTCTTTCTTCCTGTAATTTACTTAAAAAAAAACAACTGACAGTTGAAAGCAAAAATAACATGTCAAGGCTGGGTTTATAATTATTAGACTAAAAGATACAACCACAAACATAGACGAGAAACTAATGGAATTTGGAGAAACAGCAGCGGGCAGCAATTCTTCCCCTTCATTCCACGAACTGTCCATTCTCCTACAGCAGCTTATCCCACAGACACTGTGCAGGAAGCACAATCAGCAAGATCCCTATTCGGATCATTCTTCTGACAGTTATAACTTCCCCACATCCTTTTCAAATCCAGCCTAAACCTCATCACAGTAATCAAACTTCCTCACGAAAAAGACTTTCAGCTCAAGTGATAGCCACAAATAAGCTGATTTGGATTTAAAATGTCAAACGTAAAACAAATACTCCAGAAAAGGTGAGACAAAATGTAAATGGTAAGAAAGCAAATTCCCCTATGTGTGTCCGTCCCCTAGAAGAGGGTGGCTCTAAGATGTTCCCCATGTTTCCCCCAGGACCTCGATCCCACAACACTGCCGTACCTCTGCTCCTGAGCCCGGCCCCGGACAGTCCACTTTCCTCTTTTTCCTGGGCCCGATCGCTGCTAGTGCTGTGAGGTTGGCGTCCCGCTGTCTCATTTGTGCCAGTTCCTGTTGCTGCATCTTTTATTTTGAAAAGGAGACAAGGAGCATCATTTCTTGCATGTTTTTTACTTACTACAAAAGTAATACATAGATATGAAAGGGTTTTCTGTAGTTTTCTAAATCATAACTTCTTTAATGTTTTGACTTTCTCAATAGTAAGCATATTCTATAATCCAAAAAATAAGATTTTTTTTAATGCAACAGATGTTTGTCTTAAAACTCTCAGAAAATATACGCAAGTCAAAAGCACAGAGACTAATGCCCCCCGCAAAGGGAAGTCACCGTTGAATTTAAAAGTAGGACACCAACTGTTTGCACAGGAAAATACCTCTGATGTTGTATTTATTTAAACTTGGCAAACATTTTAAACAGACACGCAAATGCCTATCGTACAGAAGTGCCACGGTTTCCTTAGCCCCCCTCCCGTGGGGCGCTACAGTGCACAGCAAAGTGCCCACGAGCACTCACGACTAACAGGGCTCACCTCCTTTGCCTTCTGTTTCAGCCTTAACTGTTCTGGATCTTCTTGTCTTGACCGAGACTATTTTTGAAAGAGGCAGAAAAGAAAAGTAAGTTATGAACTAAATGTTTATCATTTAACAAATGTGTTATCTTATTTACTATACAATAACATCTAGGTAATGTTAAAGAATGCATAGCAAATTTGTGAAATGCTTATAGCCAAAGATGAAAATTTACATCACACACCATGAAAAAAGCCAGTAATCTTGAGAAAAGTCAGTAACATTTGGATGTAAGATACAGTCTTTGAAACACATCTACCAATCGCAGGCTCTGACTTGACCTGATGTGACCGCATGATGGCAGGCAGAATGGGCCTCATAGGCTCCTTGCTGTCCTGTCCCACACACCAGGGACGGGACAGCCTGTGGCTGTGATCAAAGCAAGTGCTCCTCCCACTCCACAGTACCCACCCCCGTCCCTGGGGAACTGTGGTCTCCTGTCTGATTCTATTAATGAGCAGTGCCTCGCCTGGCTGTGAATGTTCTAGAACAAGGACAACGTGAGTGTGAAGAGTCCAGTCCAGCGCACACAGGGGGCTCTAGGAACATGTGCTTCACACCTGGGTGTGACTGTGTGGAGCGTGAGGTGCTGGGAATCTTAAGAAGCCCCGCTTTTCAAGCATCTACGCTAGTGCCAAATGAATGAGGCTTCTCTTTGCAGCTCCACTGACAGCACCCATCACCTTTGCTTCAAGGCCAGCCCAAAACATGCTCTGACCACCCAAAACCCCACTGTCTCAGTGAGCTCATCAGGTTGTGGCTGAGACGGAGGTGCCCAGACGGCAGCAGCAGACACCCAGCACTCGCCTTTGCTGCCCTCATCAGGATCTCCCGCTCCTGCTCATCCTTCCTCTGCTTTTCGATTTGATCAAGCTGTTCAAAAAACTTGAGCTGTGCCCGGACGTCACTCGCCTGCTCATATCTGTCGTCATCCTATGAAGAAAGTTAAAATACTGCTTGTCATAAATCTGAGAGCCCAGCAAGCAAAGGGGTTGTCTAGCACCACTGGACCATCCGTGCACAACGCCCTCCCTCCGTCCAGTCTGAATGCGGCGAGGACCCGATCCCTCCCACCCTGCAAATGCTGCGCCCGAGAGCTCTATCGATGCTCACGTCCACAGAACGAAGTCTCGTGTTGGCTGTCTCAGGGGCACACTTGTGGGAGAGTGTCCCTTTTATACACTTTGATGCTGTCAGATTTCTTAAAGTAACATTTACCTTTTTTGCTGCAACACAGAACTACTTTTACAGCAAGGGCTAAGTGTGTTTATTTCAGTGCTGCCCTGAAGGCACTGCCTCCCGGCTGTGGCAGCAGGCACCACCTCACCCAGTGTGCCCTTGGAAGAGTGTTCATATGTGACTGCTGGTGAGGAAGGCACGTTTTACTTGGAAGAGCTGCTTCATGAGAATAGGGCTGCGGCACCTCAGGGTCTGCCAGTTCAGCCCATGGCCCAGAGAGAGAGGCAGGTGCCTTCCAAAAGGTAAACCCGCCAGGCATAGAGGCTCATGCCTGTAATCCCAGCATTTAAGGAGGCCAAGTCAGGAGGATCACTTGAGGCAAGGAGTTTAGGACCAGCCTGGGCTACATCGCGAGTCCCTGTCCCTTTTATTAAAAATACAAAAATTAGTTGGGCACGGTGGTGTGCGCCTGTAATCCCAGCTACTTGGGAGGCGAAGGCACAAGAATCGCTTGAACCCACGAGGCGGAGGCTGCAGTGAGCCAAGACTGCGCCACTGAACTCCAGCCTGGGCAACAGAGTGAGACCCTACCTCAAAAAGAAATCTTTCCAAAATCTAGTCCTATAAGAAATCCAAAACACGTTCGTAAGGAACATGGAGGCACTTGGGACCCACCGCCCTCTGCCTCGGTGTGGGGAGGAGGCTCCCAGCCAGCAGAGAGTGGGGGCCAACAACATAAAGACGCTCTCCTCGGCAAACAGCCTGTTACCTTGTAAGAAAAGTTCTTCTGCTGAGCTGTTTCTGATATTTTCTCTACAAGATTCTGTAGCCTTTGTTGCGTGGCATGTGATACATAACTTACTACATCTGGATGTAATTCCGTTATACCATGTTTTTTACCTAAAGGTCAGGCAAGAAAAACAGTATTTTAAAATCATTAAGCACAGTTCTTTCTTTACGGCTAATCTCTGATCCAGCAGTTACTGCTTTTATACAACCCAAGGGGAGCCCAGAAAGGCTGGTGGGGTGGAAGGCAGTGGTACCCATATTTTACCCAAGAACCACCACCAGCAACCATGTGGAAATCACAAACTCAGACAAAACACATGACCAGGTGTCAGGTGTGCTCACCTGAAGCTCCCATGCCCCAGCAGCGCAGCTGTTTAATAAGAACTCAGTCATTAAACACCAACGTACCTATTTCTAATATTCTTCTCTGCAAAGGCGCTTGGAGGAGGAAGGTTTCATCTTTACAGGACCGCGTTAGCGTGCCCACCAATTCAGAGTTCGTGGCTAATATTCTTGCACTTTCTTCTGACAAGTTTACTCCAGCCATCGATGCAACATCATTAATGTCATCATCGTCCCTTGAGGAAAGAAGGGAAGATCACTTTAACTGTACAAGGAATTCATCGGGAGGTGGGCTGGGGTGGTAAGGGCAGGAAACCCCACGTGGAAGGCAGGGCCGTGAGGAGGCCAGGCCTCTGTCCTCCCCGCACCTGCACCTGCTGCATCTGCCACAGCAGAGAGGGTGCCTCGCTGCTTTCCTGGAAAGCTCGATTGTTCTGCGGAAGGAGAGCTGTGAGTTGGCGCCGGGTTAACATCTACACACAGATGCGCAGGGGACTCAAGTCCAGAGAAAGCAAAGCCGGGAGCAGCGCGGGGACTTGTGGGGGTCTGATCTATGCAAAGCTTTTTAAAGCCAGAGGCAGCATTAAATTCTTTTTAAAGGCTCAGAAGTTGGAAGAAGAGTACGCACAATTTTTTCCTGAATCACCTGAAAGTTGCTAACCTGACTTTCCTCCACCCGGAACATTCTGCACGTGTTTCCTACAGACAAGGGCATCCCCTCCAGAAGCAGGATGCCATTGAGACCGGGCCATGATGAATGGCCCCTCCCCAGGCCCTCCCCCGTAGGACCCGGTCCCAGCAGCGCCTCTCCCTGCAGGACAGTCTGCATCCCAATCCCAGCTGCCACGTCTTGTCCGGCTCCTCAAGCTGGAAGGTTCCTCAGCCTCTCCTGACTCCTGGGCTGCCCCTGACACCTGGAAGGCACAGGCCAGCTGTGTGCAGGACGTCCTCTTCCAGGCTGACTTCGGCCCCCTCGTGAGGAGATGTGAGCTAAGAGTCCTGCCGGGAATTCCACATGCACGCAGCCTCCACTTGCCGCCTCCAGCAGTGGGCTTTGAACGTGAGGCCGGGGGCCTGCCTGGCGTCTCCTGGGGTCGTTGTGTCTCGGGGAAGAGCTCTACAGCAGTTCTCATGCCCAGTCCTCCTATGGGCTCCAGGTGCTCACTCAGGGTCTTGGCATCCCTGGTGGTCACGGGCTGTGGCTGGGCTGCACAGCTTAGGGCTCCAGCTGAAGGACCCGGCCATGGGAGGGAGGCTGCTCTGCTGACATCCACGTCCACGTCATGCCCATGTCCACTGCTCTCTGACACAGGACGGTCTCCGCTCATCTTGTATTTCCTTATCCCAGTCCCGCAATCAGCCTTTTCTCTCAGGAGTCCTTGTCATTTTAGTGGAAAACGGTTTTTAGAAGACAACATCTGAACACTAGGTGTGCTCAGTGTTACTGGGGCGTTACTGTTCCCAGGACCCTGCGGTGAACAAAGCTAGAAACTTACGGCAAGACCCATGGTTATCCATGCCTGCCGACACACTGAAACCCAGGGGTTTGCGTCAGCATTCCAATCCTGAGCCAGCCCACAGGGGTCACTCTCCTTTATCCCTTCTGCCAGGCCGCTGACTCCTTGACAGCAAAATACCAAGGCTTCCTGCAGCCTTGATTAATTCTTTCACCCGTGTATGTCCCTAAGTGCCCTCCCTTCTCACTGAAGTATCAGCGTCACGCTGGGCCCAGGCATGCTGGCCACCTCTCCCTGCTTGGGCTGGGACTCTGGCTCAGGCCACAGCCACTCCCCAGGCCTGCTATGCCCTGCCTGATGCCTTTAGGGATGAAGTGTCTGGGAAAGGGAAAATTCACAGTAAGACTTCCTGAAATACACACAACTCCACCGCCCCTTGATCACAACAGAGATCACTCCAAGACTCTCCCACTGCTCAGGTCCCATAAGCACCTCCCTGACTGAGGTGATGCTCAGACCACCTGCTTTCCAGGAGGCCCAGGCAAAGCACAGCAGTTATTTTTCTAGAAACAGGGCCTCACTCTGTCACCGACGCTGGCGTACACTGCTAAAACCATAGCTCACTGTAACACTGAACTCCTGGGCAGAAGTGATCCTCCTGCCTCAGCCTCCCAAGTAGCTAGGCCCACAGGCACACACCACCAAGCCTGGCTAATTTTTTATTTTTTGTTGTTGTTGAGTAAGGTTTTACTATGTTGTGCAGGCTGGTCTCAAACTCCCGGGCTCAAGCGATTCTCCCACTTCAGCCTCCTGTAGTGCTGGCACTGTAAGCGTGAGCCACTACGCCTGGAGCAGTACAGCATTTCTGAGGGTTCTGAAGTTGAATACATGGAAAGTGAAGCATTCTATACTAGGAATGCAATGAACTCAAAATACGATGTTATACTAAAAAATGAATTTCCTATTAGTTCATATAAAAATAATCAGTTGATTCGCTTTCTGGCTATGTGTATGAAGCAAAACCTCTTTGAGCCAACTGTATGGGAAAACACACTTGTGTGAACGTGAGGTCAAAGTGAGCGTGAAGCAGGAGCCTTGGAGCCCCGGCCGCCAGGGCCACGTGGGAAAGACCCGTGGGCGGGAATGGAGCAGCACGGACTCTGGACTCTTCTCCGCTCTGGCCACGCTTCTCCAACGTACACAGGCCCATTCCTTACCGAAACGAACCTCCCCCAGGCTCCTTGAGTTTATTTTTCTGTGCAGCAGCTGCTTGTGCCGAGACAGCAGAAAGGGCTTTGGTTCCAGGTAACACGGCGGGTTTCACCACAGGGACTACAAAACAAACACACAGTGGAAACCACACAAGGCTTTTATTAGATCAACTATGTGCTTTGGTGCTTTACAGGCTCAAGGGCACAGCTACCACTCTCCTAATTAGCTACAAGAAAGTTTCCAAAAACTTCATATTAATAACTCTAAATTACAGTACAAAGTGTAAGCTGTACCTCTCGAGCATTTATTTTCCTGTATTTCATCAAGGTTTTTAAAGTGCAGGAATGATTACAGATAAAGAAGCTAACCATGGAAAATACATAAAATTAAAAATCATACTGACAGTGGTGATGGTTACACAACACAGTAAATGAAATCAGTGCCACTGAACTAGATACTTAAAATGGCCAATTTTATGTAAATGTACATTTTACCCAATTAAATAAAAGCCCAATGGCAGCTGGCTCTGGGAGCAGCCCTTGGTGTTGAGCGGCCAGGGGCCCGCGAGGCCCTCACCTGGCTGCAGTGGGTTCAGCTGGATCTGCTGAGGCGTGGTGAGCATGATCCGGTTGTGAGGCTGCCGCAGGGCGACCATGGGTGTCTGCGTCAACGTCACCTGCGGGGGCCGGATCAGGGCTCCTGGCTTCGGAGGCTGCTGGATGACCTGAGGCAGAGCCAGCAGAGAATGGTGAGCATGCTCCCCGAGGGCCAGGGGCCACTCAGTCCCTAGCAGGAGGTTCTTCCCTTCCCTTCCTTTGCACCCCACGCCCCCAGTAAGAAGTCCTAGGAAGACCCCGTGTGCAGCTCAGCCCCAGCAGGCTGCAGGACCATGCTCTGGCCATGGACTCGGCCAGACCAGGGCAGGACGTGGGCGAGGGGTGCCCGTGTGAGCACAGAAGGGGCAAGCGGGAGCAGATCTGCTGCCTAGAAGCTGCCCCTGGGCATTGGTCAGGGCCTGGAGGGGGCGGGTGGCAAACTGATGCCTGCTGACCTCAGCAACCCAGGATGGAGCAGACCACTGCCCCCCAAATATTAGCAGAGGTGACATTGTTGCCTGGTGGCTACAGGTCAAGTGGTTCTATCTCATCTGAATTTTCTTTTTTCTTTTCTTTTCTTTTTTTTTTTTTTTTTGAGACAAGTCTCGCTCTGTCGCCCAGGCTGGAGTGTAGTGGCATGATCTCGGTTCACTGCAACCTCTGCCTTCCGGGCTCAAGTGATCTTACACCTCAGCTTCCCGAGCACCTGGGACCATAGGCACCCACCATGTCTGGCTAATTTTTGTAATTTTTTTTTTGTAGAGATGGGGTTTCACCACATTGGCCAGGTTGGTCTTGAACTCCTAGGCTCAAGCGATCCTCCCACTTTGACCTCCCAAAGTGCTGAATTACAGGCATGAGCTACCAAACCCAGCTCCCTTTCTGAATTTTCTGTAAGGCGGCTGAGGGCTTTTCTACTGGAGTGGGGTTAGAGTTCCTAAGTCCTGCCTGAACTTGGCCCTCAAGGGCCTCCACCCACTGCTCCCAGCATGGCCAGCTCTGTCCGCCCAGCCCCTGCTGGGCCCCTCGTGGCAGGGTCTGCCCAGCTCTGCTGTCATCCTGCCTCTCACTCTCACCTCCGGCACAAGGCAGAGATCCAAAACCTGGCAGCACTGACCATGGCCTATGCTCTGGCCCTGTCCCCAGGATGCTGGGGCCTAGAGACACTGGCATCCTTGTCAAAAGCCAATGCTCAAGTCCATAAGGCCTGGCCTCAAACCTCTGGGCCCAGGTGCTTCAGAATTTAGTCGCTACCATTTTGCAAAGGTGCCCTGGCAGGTAAACTCTATGCTGCAGAACATGTGTGGGGACCTGGGGAAGCGGCCTATAATGCAAACATGTCTCCAACGAAACAGGAACACCCACACTGGACAGGAAGAGCCTCAGGCAGCTCAGGCAATGCTCAGGCCAGGCCCTGCGGCGCAGGGAACCTGCCATCAAATGCCCGGGCCAGGCCCTGCGGTGCAGGGAGCCTGTCATCGAATCAGGGAGAAGCCTGGGTTCTGCCTCCACAGGCTTCAGGGTGCAGGCAATGGATTGGATGCCCTGGATCCCACTGGCTGTGCTCTGCAGACTCACACGTGGTCAGGAGGAGCCCAGGGAAGCAGAATGCAGAGGTGATCCTGCTGCCAAACACAGCACCTAATTCTAAAAACACCCATGCTGCTTGTGTGTGACTAAGCACCAGAGGTCAAAACTTGGCAAGAAAATGATTGCCCACAGGCTGTGCCTGCTTAAACAGAACCCACCTTTTTGGGTAAAGTAGCTCCACTGACTAGTGAACAGGGAAGTTCTGTCCTTACACTAAAGCAAGAGGCACGGCACATCTCTTTCCCTCTGGAGTCAAAAGGCAGGCAAGGAAGCCCTCTCTTTACACAGGCGCTCAGCCCTTCCCTGGCCTTTATAAGGGACACCCTCCCTCCATGCCATTTCACCCTGTTCTCCTCGCTATTATCAAGACAAAAACAAATGCAACTTGAACAGAGCACAAGAGCCAGCCCCCTAATGGCTACTCCTCACCCAGCTGGTTCTGATGTGTACACCATCACAACACATACCAGCTCATGATGAGGGAGCCCGCACCATTTTGTTGTTTAAGCTGTCTTTAGAGGAAGAAAACACCTCTGAAATTTTTTTAAAACTGCCCCTCTACGTTTGGTGAATCCCTCTGCCCATGAAAGGGAATGTGCTCAAAATGTAATTCTTCTGGCAAAGACATCCTTTCTCTAGCTGCAGAGCAAACGTCATGACTATAAAACCAAGAAAGCCAGATCCAAACTGCACATAAGTGAACCGCTATGAGCAGCCGCGGCTTCGCCTCCCGGGACTCACCTAAATCCACCCTGTGCTGTGAGCTGCTACCCTGCCTCCAGTCTCCTGCCCACCTGTCCCACGCAGGTGCCCGTGTCTTACGCTTGGACCGCTGCTCCTAATCCAAGAGAACATCTATCTACAAGATCCTCTAAAAGCACGCTGCATTCATTTACACCAGTAACATCCCCAGACAAGGCAGGGCGGGGACGTGCCGGTGGTTCAAAGCCAACTCAACTATTTCATTTTACTGAGACAAAATACAACATCCCAGGGCCTCAACCTCTGGTTTCTATTTTAACTATTTAAGGTAATACCCAAGCTTCCTCTAGCAGGAGGCTTCCTGCATGCTTGGAAAAGGTTTCTGAGCCGTGGCCAATTTATCTAAGAAGCGGGCGGGAGCAGAGGCACGGTGGGCTGTGCAGACCAGTCAGGCGCCCCTTCCATACCAGCGGTGTGGGTTGCCCCTGCTTGCCGACGCCGACCTGCGTGGGCTGCGTGAGGCTGAGCACAGGGGGCTGGAGGGCACTGGTCACGGTGGCCGCCGTCTTCCCGGCCGTGCGCTGGACCGAGCTACTCAGCACCACGGCCGTGAGCGCAGTGGTGGCCTGCGAGGTGGGCGGTGGCGGCTGCTGCTGGCTCTGCTGGATGAAGGCCGCGGAGTCGGGGGTCAGCTGTCTCAAGGCGGGTAAGCTCCTCTGGGTGGAAAGACAGACACGAGGGGTCAGGCGGCTGCTCATGCGTCGGTTTTCCTTGCTTAAAAATTCAGAAATATCAACTTTTACAGAAAGCTTTTGAGCTAAGTAAGATGGATCTTGGCCCTCACGGCAGCATGTCTGGATGTCAAGGGCCAGGACCCCATCCTGCCCTCCCACTAAGTGGGATTATTCCTGATAGCAAATGTCCAAAATGTGTTCAAGAAAACAAACAAAAAGAGACATATTTTTAAAAAACTTTTTAAAATATGTTAACATCACTGGAAGAGAAGATTCTGAATGTTCCCAACACATGGAAATAAGTACTCAAGGTGACAGACCCCAAATATCCTGATTCTATCTATGACTGTAACAAAACATCACATACACCTCATAAATGTGTACAAATATACGTATTGATTTTTAAAATGTGCTGATACCAATGATTACCCAACAGAGACAGCCTGACGCTGTTGAAACCCTTGGTCCTATCCAGTTTTGCAAACGCTACCCCATTCCCCGTCCCCTTCACTTTCAGGAAGCACACGCCCTTCTCACCACCTTGCGCACGACAGAACCACAAGGCCACCGTGTCAGGGGAGCTCCTGCTTTACAGAAAAAAAACTAACATTCTGTCCCCAGGCACTGAGTCCCCGGCCCCACCCCCGTAGGCAGCACAAGCGCTGTGCACCCTCCGTGCCTGGAGCATCCTCGCCCTGCACACTTGGTGCATCTGCGCCCCACCCCTCCCTGGCCCTACTGCTCGCAGGCACCGGGGCCTTTGAAATTACCTTCAGGAAAGGCACAAGGTAAGGTTGAGGTGAAGAATTAAGTTCTCGGTATAACCTGCTTGTGAAATCTTCTGCTTCTATTTTTCCATCCTTAAAAATAAAATCCATGTTGAAATTCTGGTGAATGAGATTCCACACACACTTCTGAATCCCGCATCACTCTGGTCTCGTATTTTACGGCTGATTCCGCCCCGAGTTTCACTGGACAGAGGAGATGGGAAAGTCTGCGTGCTACACCTTTCACAGGTACATGTGTGACAGGCGCTCACCCTGGACACTGCAGTGCAGCCAGCTGCGGACCACGTCTCCTCCTGGGAGGGTCACCTGTCTACTTCTCGTCTTTTTCTAAGTCTCTTACTCAATGCCAGTCTTTACTCAGTGCTTACCAGGCACCTACTCGGTGTCAGGCATTTTGCTAGGAGGCAGATCAGCCTAAAAGTAACTCCATTATCAAAGCCAGCACTGCAAGTGCGGTGCTGCAGGAGGTCACAGCGTGCCAGGGGCCACACAGACAGGATCCACACAGTCAGGGCATCCGCGCCTTCAGGAGCAGATGACAGCTGTGCTCACCCCTGCAAGCGGCCAGGGTGCCCAGAGTCTACAGTCAGACAAAAGGGAGCCCAGAGCAAGAGGGCCAGATC
>NT_187625.1:0-58661 GCF_000001405.40 Homo sapiens
CTACACTTTTAAATAGTTAATTTTAGGTTGCACAAGTCTCACCTCAATTTTAGAAAGGATAGGGGGTTCCCACTCCAAGAGCAAGCAAAAGCAGCTGCGACGCCACAGGGTGGCCACAGTAGCGTGGCCACCACATCCATCCCCGGAGAGGATGGACCAGGAGAGGATGCGGCCACACCCACCTTCTGAGTTCTGCCGTGACGCGGCACCCTTGATGCGGAAAGCCTGGCGTGCCCGGCTGCGGTCCCCGAAGCTCCAGCTCTTGGGCACCTTGCTGGGGCTGTCCTCGAGGCTCTGGTCGGCGCTGGGTGACCGCCTCACAGTCTGGGCCTGCGGGGACCCCTTCCCCTTGGCAGCCACGCCTCGGGGGCTGGAGAAGACACGATCTTTCAAACTGACCTTCTGGCTGCTCCCACGGGAACCGACAGACAGACAGAAAAACAGGGAGAGAAGTCACTCTGCAAAGAACACAGGCCGTGTCTGCTCATGGCCGACGCCGCCCATGCGCCGGAGGGAGACACAGGTCTGAAGAACAGCCAGCCACACGGGTGGCTCAGAGCAGGTGCCACGGGGACCGAGCACCCGGCGGGAGGGAGGGAGGGGAGGCCACGGGGACCGAGCACCCGGTGGGAGGGAGGGAGGGGAGGCCACGGGGACCGAGCACCCGGCGGGAGGGAGGGGGGGAGGCTACCGGGGCCGAGCACCCGGCGGGAGGGAGGGAGGGGAGGCCACGGGGACCGAGCACCCGGCGGGAGGGAGGGAGGGGAGGCCACGGGGACCGAGCACCCGGCGGGAGGGAGGGAGGGGAGGCCACAGACACTGAGCACCCGGCGGGAGGGAGGGAGGGGAGGCTGGGTGGGCAGCAAGCTCCCCCGGCTGGCTCAGGCGTGGCCAGAGGTTGGCCATGTGGGGAGAGTTGATGTCTGTGGACTCTTAAATCACTTTCCGCTACCACCACGAGGTGCCGGAGCCTTCCTCACACTGTCCTGCCAGCCCCTCACCCAGTGACACTCAGGGCAACGGGCATCCCAAACACCGGGGCTGTGGCTCTTCCTCGGGCACCTCTGTCTGCCCCGGCCCCGCCCGTGGTTTCCCCTGTGGCCTTTTCACACCCGTAACTGCTCCCAGGAAGCAGCCTCCCTCCTCCCCTCCCACGGCCTGTCCCTCTCCTTCTGCCCCAGAGTCGAGGGGCCAGGGGACAACAAGGACATTGGGGGCCAAGTCTGCGGTGGACCCTTGTTCAGCCACACTCCGGCCTTTCCACCCACCCCGGGGGCCTGCCTGGTGGGATGGGCTTCAGGAGGGCTCAGGCCTCCCCTGTCAGGCTCCCCTCCCACCAGGTCCGTGTCAGAGAACTGCTCCTTCCGGCTTCTGGAAGGAAGGAATGGATAACGGGGCTCCTCCGCCAGCTGGGCCTCACTATCCAAGTCCTGCCCCAGGGCAGGGGGAGGCAGCCTCCAAAGCCACAGCGCTGTGGCCCGGCCCCCTCGGCCTGCGAGGCGTGAAGCAGGATTTGCAGCTGTGTCTGGCTGGGTCTCCAGCTCCATACTCTCGGGGGGTCCTTGGGCCTGCCTTGCCCCCGAGTTTTTTGGTGACCGTGGAGATGGGTTTGCACCCGAGTTCTTCAACTCCAGCGTCCGCCGGGCGACAGTGAGGGGAGGGGAGGGTTCACTGTGGTTGGTGGTTGGGAGACGCCAGGCAGATGTGGCCTCCTGAGGTCTGGAAAGCATCAGAACCCCCTGGCTCCCTTGAGGACAGTGGGGCTCTCACGAACTGGGGACCCGCTCATGCCCAGCCATGCTTAGCAGCCACGGAACTTCTCAGGGTGGTTCTGGGCAGGGCCCAGAGCACTGTTGCTGGAGCCTGAAACAAGCCTTCGGGTGGGGAGGCCCCGCAGATCCCTGACACACTTCAGAGAGGAAGCCCAGTGCCTCACGGGCTCCCTGATCCCACGGCGGCTCCCCAGCCAACAGCGAGGGACTGAGGCCCCGGTCAGCAGCCACCATCAGCCCCGACTCCAGACCCACAGCCAGAGAGACACGCCCACCAGACGGCACAGAGATAACCAGCCACAGACATGAGAGCCCACCGCGCCCGTCTGCCTGGCCTGGACACGCGGATCGCTTGGCTGCCCCTCCCCACCCCATCCCCCAGGCAGCAGGTGACCGCCCAGACCATCTGTGCCCACTCAGCAGACCATCTGTCCCCACTCAGGCGTCTCTGAGAGAAAGAAAGAAGCCCCTGGGTGTTGTGCCCGCTCGGGGAAGCAGAGACGGAGTGGCCGAGATCCCCCGAGTCCCGAGGCGTCGCGTGCTTGGGGACGTCAGGAGCCGATGGTACAGGCTCGCTCAGGACCCCAGTCCTGAGTCCACACCCCTGCACTGCCTGAGGCCAACACACCGTGCCCATGGGGGCCAGGGGTGCTCAGAGTCCTGGTGCTGTGGGTGCCTCTGTCCCAACGGCCTCTGGTCCCCATCCCAACAACAAAAGCACAGGTGGTCGGGGAGAACCGGACGGGGGCCAGGGGAGCACATGGGCACAGGCTCAGCGGGACTCCTGGAATGTTCTCTCTTTCTCCACCGCACGAGCCATTTCAAAGGCAAGAATAGGCCCCTCCTGACCCCGCTCAGGCAGGCCTCAGGGCAAGTGGGAGTCACTGGAAGACTCAATTCCTCTCTCTGCGTTTCCACCCGAGGCAGGTCCAGTCACCAGAGAGAGAAGCAGCCACCTCCTTTCTCACGGCAGCTGGCAAAGCACCGGGTGGAGGACAGAGCCGGTCGGCCCAACTGTAGCTTCGGGGCTGCCCTTGGCTGGTCTCTGGGCAGAGCCCGGTGCTGAGGGCTTGCAGTGGGAAAGGCACAGCTTGAGGAATGGGCATCAGATTCCCACCTGCGGCCCCGGAGGGGAACGGGTCAAATACCCAGGCGGCCACACAGACGTGCGGGCCAGGAAGGGTCAGGCCCCACAGTCCGCAGGGAGTTGCAGGAAGGGAGTGGCGTGGATTCCACAGGCCCCAGGAGAGAAGACCCAGCCCCGACGTCTGCTTCCCATTTTTCAGGGGGGACCCCCCGCTGACCACGACAAGGAGCCACAGCCCCGCCAGCGGCAGACACACCCTGCTGGACCCGATGCCCAGCACAGCCCCAGGGGCCGCCGGGACGCAGCCCACGTGTACTGCCCCAGACAGAGCCGGCGGGAAGGAGCCTGCCCTGGCCTCGGCGCGGCCCTGCTGTCCCGGGTCTCGGGCTCCGCTCCCACCTCAGATCTGCGAGGGAGGCTCTGCCAGGAAGAGGAGGGTGGCGCGACCTGGACATGTCCTTCCCTCCCCTGGACCTCCACCATGACCCAAACTCTGCACCCTCCAAGCACAGCTGGTGAGGCTCCATGCTGCAGACACCCGACCCCGCCAGCCTGCCTCAGCTGCCAGGAGCACGCGTGGTCTCGCAGGCCCTCCCTCGGCCACAAGCCAAGAACAAGCGCACGCGAAAAGCTGCCGCCACCCACCTGGGAGGAGCCCTCGGCCAGAGCTGCCCTCTGTGTGCGAGGGGCGTCCGTGGCACCTACGCTTGGGGCTTACGGGGCCGGGGCAGGCTCAAGAAGCACCTGAGAGCGCGCCATCCCCACCCGGCCTGCCACCCTCCCTCCCAATGGTGAAATTCAGATGTGCGGTGCCCGCAGGAAACAGGAGGCTGAGGAGCATCCAGACCCCTGCCCAGCTGGTGTCCGGACCAACGACGCCCAGGAAGCGTGAGGATGAAGGGGCCTCCCGTGGGGGCTGCTCGCAGCAGGACAGGGCCTGCCCTGGGTTGTTCTCTGGCCTGGGCTCCCACCCCCACTTTCAAACCCCTCTGGTCCCCAAGCAGCCTGACCTCAGCCCCTGCCCTGAGGGACCAGCCTGCGGCCAGAAGCACCCTGAATAGATGCTCCGGACACGCAGGACAGCTGCTAGCGCCCCAGCAGGCCATGCCCCAGGCAGCCCACACGCCCGTCTCCCTCTCTGGAGCTGCCAACAGTCTCCCCGCAAGCACCAACGCCCCCAGAAGCACACAAGCAGCAAAGTCACAGGGAGAGGGTGGCATGGAGTCGCGGGCCCCCCATGGAGCAGGGTCCGAAGCATGCACGGATGCAGATAGGCAGCATGCAGCCCCACCAGCCCTCCAAGGCCAGCACCACCGGCGGCATGCACATGCCAAGGAGAGCCCCACAGGAGCACGACACAGCCACCTCCACCTTGCTGGGCTGTGCTGGCCAGGAGGGAGGGGCCCCCAGCGCAGGCCTGCACACACCCAACAGCAGACAGGGGACGCGGGGACAGGGGAGGTGCGGGTCACGGTGCAGGCCAGGAGCCCACGGTGCAAAGGGGGCGGCTCCTCCCCCGTCCTATTTCCACCTGCCCTAAACCAGGCCTGTTGTTGGGAGAGGGAGCCGCGGGCCTCTGGCTTTCTGGGGCTTCTGATGCATCAGGACCCTGAGGAGCCCGGCACACACAGACGGAGCTGCCTCCCGCGGTCGAGGCAGCCAGGAAGGCTCAGTCATCCTCAGGTACGCAGCAGAGGTGCTAGAGTGACAGCCCCAGGGGAAACGCTCCCTGAAGAGCAGTCGGGGACCCCAGGAGGCACGGACGCCTTGCTGGGTTCAGAGCCCCTGGCTGGCCCCTCTGGCTGTGCGCAGGACATCGCCTGGCGTGGGGAGCAAGAAGAAGCACCTTCCCCCAGCTCCGCCCTGCACGCAGCTGTCGGCTAGAATAGAGGGAGCTGAGCCCGCACCGCCAGGGCGGTGGGTCAGAATTGGGGTTGGGGCGCCAGCCTCCCCCTGGCTCCTCCAGAACCTCTAGTAAGCAGGGAGGGGCAGAGGAGCCGTGCAGCAGCCGTCAGTCCGTGCGGCGTGTTCCGCGGTACCTAGAGCGTCCGGGGCAGCATCCACACAGGGGCCCTCTGCACGGGCTGCCTTTACTGGAAATGAGGAGAGCACAGTTAGTCCTGGGCGCCGGCAACAGCACACGGCCGGGAGCAGGGAAACTGAGGCACTGCAACCACCCAGGGTGTTGTGTGCAGTCCCCAGCGGCAGAGCTTGCGCCCAAGCAAGGCCAGCGAGGAAGGTGCACCATCGTCTCCACCGTCCGGAGAAGAAAACACTTCCCTATTTCTGAAGGAAAAAAATCCCTGTTTTTTTTTTCCTCCAAAAATACCTTTTCCTTCCAAAGCCACAGTTTGGGTTCATGTCTTAAAAGATGTATTATTTTTTGCAGTATTCATGCTGACAAAACAATAATACATGTGGCCTCAGACGCCGCAGAAGCCCTGCTTGGGAAGGACGTGACCCCGGGAAAGGGCGTGGGTGTGAAGCACACACATTTGAGAGAGGAAAACGTGCAGTTGTCCCGCTTTGCAAACCAATCGGCGACGTTTGGCCATGCCAGCCAGTCCCCCAGTTGGAGGTGGGTCTCGGTTTACCCAGGAGGCGTGGCTGCCACTGCAGGCATGGCTATCTGGGGGTTCAAGGGCTCCCCTGAGGACAGTCACGTTGGGGCTCAGTGGATCCCCTCATTGTGAAGCCCTTCAGGAGCGCAGCTCCCCGCCGGGGCGTTCCTTAGAAAAGGCTCAGAAAACACGGAACGTTTTCCCAAGAATCTCCCCAAAAACCCTGGCGATTTAGCTCTGCATCACAATGTGCAAATGATTAAGCAAAAAATGAAACCAATCACCAAGAACTCAAGAACTCTTCCTTTTCCCCACCCCAGCCACCCCCAACCTCCTTGCCACTGCTTCCTGAGACAGCACTTCTCAAACTCGGTGCCCCAGGAACCCCAGCGTGGCGACGGCATCCACTCAGAACACACAGGCTCTAGGAAGAAAGCACCCAGCCTCCCGTCTTCCTGCGCACACGTGTGTTTAGACACCGATGTCCCTGCACGCACCCGCAGGCAGCTCTCCGAGCGGCGTCACAGACACGGCTAGCTCCAGTCACGGCAGCACTCAGCCGCCCGGGTAGGCTGAGGGCTCTGGACCCTTCCCCAAGCCCCACCAGCCTGCAAGACTCCAAGGGCGGGTGGCCGGCTTCCACCCCAGCCCCCGTGCCGGTCCGGCTTTTTAGTACACAAGCGACTTTGGGGTCCCCAGGCACGAAGGGATGTAGTGCAAAGGCTGGACTCTGTTTGCTGGTTAACCACGAACGCGACGGTGGGACGAGGCAGGAGGGAGCCGGCTCCCTGCGCCTGGCTTGAGGTTCTGGCTGCTCAGAGTCTCTCCCGCTGTGACCACCCCAGCTACGATGACACCCAGGCCTTCCTGGCAGGCAAAGACCTCAGACTCCCACCAGCACCACCCAGGCCCAAGCACAGAGCCCCTGCCTGGAGGGCCCCAGGAGACCTTCCCCACCCCAGGGAAAGAGCATGAAGGAGGCAGGGTCCCGCTTCCCCAAACCTCCCAAGGTCTCCTGTTTTGACCCCAGCATGATCGCCTTGACCAAGAGGCCCCTCCCGGGCCGGCCCTGCCGCCCGATTCTGCAATGGGATCGTCCTGTAGCCACACTGAAGCTCCGGCTGTCGCCACCAGGCACCTGAGACTCGAGAGTGAATCTCTAACCGTGCCCGTTATAATCCATGTTATTTTAACAGCCACATGTGGCTGGCAGCTCCTGTATGGGGCAACGTGGTCTGAGAGCCGGGGAGAGCTGGCAGGGAGGCGCTGCAGGCACAGCCCCCCAAGACCCCCAAAGCTTTGTGGGGGACCCGTGCAGCTGCACCTCCCCCTGGGGTCCGCAGCTGGCACTGGGCTTCCTTCCTGCCCCATCAGCCACAGGGAGCTCCACACTGCGTGAGAAGGCCCTGTGACCCGAGGTCGGACAGGCGGACAGGCCCACAGTGAGCTCGAGACCCACAGACACTGACCGAGACCCGACAGGACAGACATGCACCAAAAACACGCGGACACGTGTGCTTGAGAAGAGGAGGGGGAGCCCGAACAGGCACGGGGGAGCCCGCACAGGCATGAGGGGGCAGCCGGTGTTGGGGGCTCCTCCTCCAGCACGGGGGCAGGAGGCAGTGAGATGGGGTGTCGGACAAGACAGCACAAGTCAGAACCGCCGTGGCCAAAGAGACCCCCCGGGACCCCCCTGGGGCAGCACGGCCCGAGCCCCGCAGCCTGCCTGGCTCCCCACCCGACCCCAACGTAGACGCTTCCTCTGACTCCAGCACAGCCCCAGTGGTCCCTACGGGAACCGAGCCCCCGCCAGCCGGGTCGCCTGCCACCACGTGCCTGTGTTCTGAGCCAGGATGGGGGTGGGGGTCTCAGCAGTGAGTGAGGGTCCCTGTGTCCACACCATCCACCTGCCAAGACCAGCTGACACCAGCGGGGTCCTGCCATGCGGGGTGCGGGCTCCACCTCCAAAGGGCAGGCGGAGGCACAGGTCCCACCAGACTCACAGAGCCCAGGTCAGGCAGCAGAGGGGCGCCAGGAGCCGAGCTCCCCATCAAGCTTCGCAGAGCAGGCCCCTCACCCAGCAGCCCAGGGACGTGGCAGGCAATGATTGCGGAACAACTTCCTAAGCACGACCCTACACTGGACAGGCTGCGGCTGCCCCAGGCCAGGGAACAGAGATGCCACCCCGTGACCTGCCAGGTGAGCACCCCAGGATGGGCGGGGAGGGTCTTCAAGGGCAGAGACTGCTCCTCACTCCCACCGCACCCCAGGCACCTTCCAGAAGCCCCAGACCCAGCAGCCCCACGTCCCCCACCACAGGCGTCCCAGGAGGAGGGCCGGGGCGGGTGGGTGCTCGCCCGTGGGGGAGGGCGTGGGAGGCACAGGCAAGGACCCCCCGGACACATGGGGAAGAGACGGGGGAGGGGTGGGGAGCCACAGAGCTTACCGGAGAGCCCGGAGGCTCCCGCGTGTCCTCACCTGGAGTTCGCCTTCAGGGCCAGCACCTCATCCCCAAAGAGAGGGCAGACGAGAGAGGGGCCCGAGAAGGGCAGTAACAGGGATTAAAGCACTTGGGGGCAGCGGGTGTCCAGATGGGTGGAGTGGAGGGTGGGAGGGAGAGAGAGAAAGAGAGAGGCTGAGACGAGAACGTGGAGCGGGCCGGGCTGGGGCAGCGAGCACGAGGGGCCGTGAGGCACGGGGCGGGTTCCGGCGTCGCTCCCAGCAAGGGCGTGGGGCCCTGCCACGCGGAAGCCGTCGGGAAGCCTCGCGTCCACCTGGGACAGCACCGAGGTTCCGCCCAAATCACAGCCAAGGGTGCCCATTGTGGGGGGCACAGTGCTCATCCCCACAGCCACTCCCAGCCTCAGGGCCAGCAGCAGGGGCGGGGGAGGCAGTGGCAGCACTGGGGGCTGGCACCAGCAGAGGCTACGCTGCCGACCCAGCTCTTTCTGGGCCCTCGTCCGTTTTCTTAGCCTCTTTGAGAGGATGAATGAGCCCCTGGTGGTTTTCTTGGTTGGTGTGGGCCGGAAGCATTGCCCGTCTTTCCAGCTCAAGGCACTGACCATGACTCCCCTTCTGTGGGATGTGGGGTGGCTGGAAAAATGCAGCTCAGCCCCACTCCATCTCCCCGCACCCAAGCCCCGCAGTGTCTCGCCAGCTGTCACCCGCAGTCCAGGAGGGGCAGCCAGGCGTCCATCTCGGACCCCAGGTCCAAGGGGCCAGATTTACTCTGCAACATGTGGATGGGGCACAGGGGGCCCAGAGAAGCCTAGCACCTCCTCAGGGTGATGTGTCGGGGGCTGGGGCTCAGCAGACGTAGAATTAACTTGTGAAAGGATCTTGATTTTCTCTGTCTCCATCCTTCACCCCAGCAGAGCCCTTACACGAGTCCTGTCTCCAATCTGCCCGACCCACAGAACCTCGGGGCCCGGGAGAGGGAACCAGGCTAAGCACCTGCACCCTTGGCCCACTTTGACCTTGGCAAACAGGGAGAGGAGGCCAGCCAGAATCTCCACCCAGGGGCGTGAGACAGAGAGGATGTCCCACCCTCCTCGGAGGACGAGGGGCCCTGGTCTGTGCCACATGCTCCAGACACTCTGGACCCAGAGCAGCGGGAAGGCCAGAGGCCCACTTGGAGCTTTCACCCCAGCCGGCGTCGACTCAGGCCAGCTGTGAGCTCGGGCTATGTGCCTGCAGCTGGAGGGAGCGCACTAACAGAGACCCCCTGCCTCCGAGAACCCTGGGGCCAGACTTGTGGGCGGGGTGGGGGATCCCCCACCCCCGAGAAGCCGCCCAGCTGCCCGGATCCACAGTGCTGCAAAGTAAAACCGAATCACTGGGGAGGGGGTGAGCAGGAAGAGTGATTTAAGGGCCCACATCACCGCCAGGCGGGGGTCTGGACCCGCAGTCACACAGTCACACACGGAAGCACACACAAGGCCCTCACATCTCCATGACAGGTTGCGCACACGTGTGGGAGAGAGACCAGACGGCCGTGCACACGGCAGACACCAGGGTAGCAGCAGGGGGCACTGACCTTGGAGACGGCTCCGGCGGGGGGTCCTTCCTTCAAACAGAAGCAACAGAGAGTTAGTGGCCGCCCACTCAGCACCCATGAGGGTCCCCCAACCAGTCCAGCCCCCCACAGTCCCATGGGTCAGGGGCTGCAGGGGAGGGGGGTCTCAGAAAAGGCTGGGCAGGGGTGGAGCTGGCCCACCCACCCCAGAGAGCCCACGGCCCCAGGAACGGGCACCCCAGGGCCCACGGAGGCAGCTCCGAGAGGGAAGAGGGACTCCATGGGGCGGGGGCCTCTGCTCTTCTGACCTGGGGGTCTCTACCCCTCCACATTTACAGACACTCATTTTAATCAGAACCACACCAATATTAATAAAGTTCCAAAAAGCACGTGTTTGCTGAAGGAAGCTCTGGAAGGGAGTTTAATTTACAATCAATTTTCGAGACAGAGTGAGCTGCTCCGACTCTTTTTTCCACGCTCATCCTAATGGAATGATTCTCTTCCGCGTGACTTTCCAGGGGTGGCTCCACTGCGCCACAGTCAGTGAGCCCAGGGTTTGCACCGCTGACCAACTGTCCCGGCCTCGTCCTGCAGGCAAAGCTGTCTGGGCCTTCCGGCGTCTCATCTGGGGCTGTTTCCGCGGGTAAAGGCGTTATGGATTGAGTGAGAGATCGGCGGATCGTGATTTGGCTCATCCATGGGGAGGCCCCAGCGATCTCATTCGAACACCTGGGCTGGTGCCCCGGCTGGTACGCCGTGTTACAAGCAGGCTCTTTGGTGCACTTCCAAATACTTCATGTGACAGGGACCGTGTTGCCGTGGAACATGGTCCACGCTCTCGGGGAGGGTCCCTCATCACCTCCTGCAGCTCCCGGTGGCCCAGGTGTCCTTGGCTTGTGGCTGCACCGCCCCGTCTCTGCCTCCGTCTCTACACGACATTCTCTGTGTCTCTGTGTCTTCTCCTCCTCTACCTCTGTAAGGACAGCTGTCACCGGGCTAGGGCTCAAGCTGTCACCAGGCTCATCAGGATGTTCCAGGATGACCTCATCTCAAGATCCCAAGCTCAGTTACAGCTGCAAGGACCCTTTCTCCAAATCAGGTCACATTTGCAAATTCTGGGACATTTTGGAGACCAGCATTCAACCACTGCATTCCCCCGACCCCCCAAAATTCATGTCCATCTTACATCGAGAATACACTCACCCCTGCCAAGATCCCCCAAAATCTCCACCCTCTGCAGCATGGACTGTGTGTCCAAAACCTCATCGAAATCCCATCCGTTGGCCAGGCACAGTGGCTCACACCTGTAATCCCAGCACTTTGGGAGGCCGAGGCGGGTGGATCACCTGAGGTCAGGAGTTCGAGACCAGCCTGACCAACATGGTGAAACCCCGTCTCTACTAAAAATACAAAAATTAGCCGGGTGTGGTGGCAGGTGCCTGTAATCCCAGGTACTCGGGAGGTTGAGGGAGGAGAATCACTTGAACCCAGGAGGCAGAGGTTGCAGTAAGCTGTGATTGCGCCACTGCACTCCAGCCTGAGTGACGCAGGGAGACTCCGTCTCAGAGAAAAAAAAAAGAAATCCCACCCATTCAAAACGTCCCAAATCCCATCCTCTGAAGTCATGACAATCACTTAAATCAGGTATGTGTGAGACCGTGGGTGTGCGCCAACCTGGGGCTAAAGTCCTCCATGCATGGGCTTGTGAACTAGAAAACAAGCCATCTGCTTAAAGTATCAACAGCAGGACAGCTCTTCCCACTCAAAAAGGGAGAATGACAGAGGGGCCGCCGGCCACCACGTTTCCAATCCGGCGGGGCAAACTCCACGTGGCACAGCTCTGGGGACGCTCCTCGGGGGCTCTCAGCCCCGCCGGCCTCTGCGGGAGCCTCGGGATCGTTCCCCGTTTCCTAAAGGGCAGCTCGTGTTCACAGCTGAGGAGCGCCACCGGCCTGTTTCCTGCCTGCAGACTCCCGAAGTTCGATGCCCTCTTACCTTCGTCCAACGCTGTCTCTGCCAATCTAGTTTCTGCTGGTATGAAACTCCCCAAAACCTCTAGGGCCTCCTGAATATGCCACAGGCCGCAACGCCGTTAGACAAGAGGCCCCTCTGCACATCCTTCCCGATAGCTCCATCTTCAGGCCTCTGTGGAGACGGTGGAGGCTGCAGCCGCACACCTGGTGCCTTCAGCATGAGGCTGTCTGGCCACACCTGTGGGCTTCTCTCCAAAGCAGGCTTTGCCAACAGTGAATCTCCTAATTTAAGACCCTTTGCAAGCTGGACAGGCTGAGCACCTCCCAAACCTTCAAGTTCTGGTTTCTTACAGCAGTTCTGCCCTGAATGCCTTTTTTTTTTTTTTTAATAGTCTTTTGGCGGATCGGCCAGGTGCTGCTCTGAATCTCCCTGTTTCCTCTCATACTTTACTATGAGCAGCAGAAATAAATTAGGCTGCACCTTCCACACTTTGCTTGGAAATCTTCTTGGCTAAATATCCCAGTTCATCACTTAAAAATTCTGCCTCTGCCCAACAGTAGCGCACAGCCCAGTGGAGTCTCTGCCACCAACAACACAAGGACAGCCTTCCCTCCAGCTTCCAACACCTGCATCCTCACTTCCTCCTGAGCCCGCACCAGAAGCACCTTCAACATCCGTGTCCCCACCCACCATCTCTTCAGGACACCTCAGTTTCTTCCAGCCTGCACCTCAAAATACTCACGTCCAAAATCTCATCCAAATCCCATCAGTTCAAAAAGTCCCAAATTTCATCATCTGAAGTCATCAGAGGCCGGGCACAGTGGCTCACGCCTGTAATCCCAGCACTTTGGGAGGCCGAGACGGGCAGAGCCCTTGAGGTCAGGAGCTTCAGACCAGCCTGGCCAACATGGTGAAACCCCATCTCTACCAAAAATAACAAAACTTAGCCGGGCGTAGTAGCAGGTGTCTGTAATCCCAGCTACTCAGGAGGCTGAGGCAGGAGAATCACTTGTACCCGGGAAGTGGAGGTTGCAGTGAGCCAAGATCGCACCACTGCATTCCAGCCTGGGCGAAAGAGCAAGACTCCATCTCAAAATAATAATAATAAATAAAATAATAAAGTCATCAGAATCATTTAAATCAGGTGTGTGTGATTGCAGGTGTGCATCAGCCTGGGGCTGGAGTCCTCCACGCATGAACCTGTGATTCTAGGAAACGAGCCCTTGGCTCACCCGGTTCTGATGTCACACCCGCGCTTGTAGGCGTTTGCCACAGCCGCACGCGGCTCCCGGTATTAAAGTCTGGATTCATGTGCAACGGCTCCTGTAACTAAGTGCCGCTGGAGTGTGTAACAACAGATGTTTGTTCTTTCACAGTCCTAGACGCCAGAGTCCAAAATCAAGGTGCGGGCGGGGCCTGCTCCCTCCGAAAGCTCCAGGGAAGGGTCCTTTCTGCCTCTTCCAGCTTCTGTGGCTCCAGGCAGCCCTTGGCTTGTGGCCGCATCACTTCAGTCTCTCTCTCCATCCTAGCTGGCTATCACCTCTGTGTGCTTCCAAATCTCCCTCTCCTTGTAAGGACACTCGTTGTTGGACTCAGGGCCCGCCCGGAAAATCCAGGATGATCTGAGATCGTCCTGATAGGTTCCAGAGCAGAAGAGTGTCTCTAGGAGGCAGAAACCAGCATCCAACCCACTGGAAGCCCCTGCCCCACCAAGGGCTTTCAGACATGGAACTGCTTGGGGACGGCTCTGGGCCTGGGCAGGCCTGGCAGGTGCATTCGCCTTCCACCTCTCCTGCTCAGCAGGCCCTTCTGCAACCTACCTCGACAGCCGGCACTCTGACAGCCGTGGGCTTTGGGCCTGAAGGAGAGGCAGCAGGCGCCATCAGCACCTGAGTTACCACCAGGCACTCGAGAGGACGACGGGCTGGGACACTTTGTCGTACGACCCACGCGCCTGGGCCCCATTAGGAGCCATGCAGAGCCCCCGGCCCCATATCAACCTTCGCCCCTCCCTCTCTGCCCGTCCCCCGAACCAGCTGCCCCTCTGGGGGTGGGAGCCCAGACCAGGTCAGCAGACGCGAAAAGAGAAAGCACCACCATCACCAAGTCCAGCGTCCCCGCGCGTCCCAGCTCCCTGGAGTCCCTGGGGCACTGTCCTGGCGTGTCTTCTGTGGGCAGCTGGGGCCCCCAGGAGGACTGAGACGCCCACCCGCCCCACCTGGAGCTCCCCAGCTGACCTGAAAGCGAGTCCAGATTTACTCTTGAGGTTCCTCAGCAGCTCCAGCTGGTTCAGCGGGGGGATAAGTCTGGGGCAAGAGAAGGAGAGGGGAGTGAGCGTCTCACCCTCCCGAGTCCTGGGACACCTCCCTCTGCTTGCACAGCTCCATGGGCAGGCGCCTGCAGTGTCAGACACCCGGCGGCATGTGACGTGGCCAGGCTTTCAGGCAGCTGCCCACTGGGCCCTGGGCTCAGGCCCACCTCTCTTGGGCAGGCCTGGGAGCCATCTTCATTCTCTGGCTGTGCCTGGGGCCTTGTCAACCAGCAGGGACAGCAGGGAGGAGGGAAGAGGGCGCCTGGCCACCCATGCAGCCCCGACCCTGCAGCCTGGAGCAGGTGGAGGAGGGCGCGCAGGTAGGGGGAGGCGCTACTCCCCCTTCTAATCCCTGAACATCCTAGAGGGACAGCACGCGAATATATTTAGGGCCCCGGCCCCTCTCTACACAGCCACTTTCTCTGCCAAAGCTGGAGGAGTTGGGAGGTGGGGATACAGAAAAGGATTCTGCTTGGCAAAGAGCAGCTCATTCTGGAGTCTATAGGATGAGCCCAGCCTCATCAGGCCCAGATGCCTTGGGAATCCTCCGCAGGTGGCCCAGCTCTGCTCCGAGCCCCCTTCCCAGTCCTGGTCATACCCACCCCTGTCTTCCTGCCCTGCCGCCCACAGCCACCAGCAGGACCAAGTCCGGGCCCGCCGAAGCCCCCCAGGCAGGTATGCAGGCACCTCCTCACGTCTGGGTGGGACGTCCCCCTCTTCACCCCTCCCCACTCCCACCCACCTCACTCTGCCCACTCCTCCTCACCACCCATGCCCTCACAGCATTCCAGCTCGCTTCAGGAAGAGACACCCTCCTCTGGGGCCTCCCCCACCCGGCTCCCTGACCCACCTGAACCCCCTCCACTCCGCCTCCTCAGCCTCTGCTCCCAGGCCCTGCCATCCCATCCACGGCCTCCACCCCTCCCCACACCCACCTGTGGAGCACTCCCCACTGGGGCCACGTCCTGGTCTCTCCTCTGCGTTGGAGGCAGGACGGCCACCTCCCAGCCCAGCCCTCACCCAGCTGACTCCCTACGCGGCTATGGCCACGGCCACCCCCTGGAGATGCCCCTGCCCGTGTCCTCCCTCTGCCCCAGGCTGGGCCGTGGCCCACATCCTCCAGACTCTTCACCTGCCCTGCCTCTGCCCACCCAGGCTTACTTGGTCCTCCAGATGGGCATCCTTGCCACTCTCCTGACCAAACACTCAATGGCTCCCCACTGCCTCCAAAGCAAAAGGATGGCTGACTCCATTGTCCCTCAGGGCTTGGTGATCACCCTACTGCCGACTCCCACTTCGTCCAGCCACACTCCTCCCTCCAGAGCTGTCCAGAAGCCCCTCCCTGCACCCCACCAGCCTCTGGTGCCCCCCCACAGGCTAGGCAGGTGTGAGCTGGTAAAGCCGTGCCTGGCCCCTCTTTGTTCCCTCTGCAGCCCCAGAGGTGCCCCCAAAATGCTGGCAGGAGTGGGGCTCCTGTGAGCCCCCTCCCTGCAGAGGACAGTCCGCTGTCCAAGTCGGGATGGAGCAGGAACCAGGCAGCTGGTGAGCTGGTGTTGTGGGCGCAGCAGAGCCCAGCCTGGCCGGAGTCTGTCTGGGGGCCACAGGTGGCTCCCCACCCCTCCTTGATGGGACCCACACGCACGCAGGCCCAGGTGAGAGACACACACGTCAGCCCTCAGAGCCACATAGGAGGCCATGCCTCGAACACACAGAGCAGCAGCGCCAGGGCAGACAGGCGGGCGGCAGGGCCAGGGCAGGACGGAGCTGTGGGACGAGGGTGCAACAAGGGGAGGGGGCGGCCCTGGGAGAGAGCAGAGGCTGGGGAGGAGGCAGCCGGCTTCAGCGCCAGCCTCCTGGCCCCAGGGGCAGCAGGGCCTCTGCAGACATTGGAGATGTCTTATGGCTGAGCATGTCGGGGGCAGAGGAGCCCTGGACCCACCACTGCCCAGCACTGCACCCACTTCCTTTCTGGGAATGGAGAGTCAACATTCTAACAGTTCCCAGGAAGGGCAGCCAGGTCTCTCCTCCAGGACGGGTGACTGGCCCCTGGAGGAGTCATCAAGGGCTTCTGTGCAGGAAGCCCTTCTGGTCTATGTGGGGAGTGGCTGGCCCCAGGCTCTGCAGGGCAGTGTCATCACAGAGCACAAGCCTGCCCACCCGACAGGTAAAGGCCCTTTGTGCTGTATGGGGGTGAGGCTTCCCATAGCAGCTCAGCGCTCTCCAGTCTGAACAAACAGCCTTGTTTCCTGCTCTCAGCAGTGGGGACAGGGGTGGGACGGCCTGGAGCCCTGGGGTTCCCCTGTGATGCCAGGGCAAGACTCAGGAGAAACTTGAGTCCAGGGCAGGAGACCCTGAGGCAGACCCCTGAGGCTAGCTGGCCCGCAGAGGCTGCCCTGTGAGCCACGGTGGGACAAGGACTGTGGCTGGTCTGGGGGTCCTGGCCTGGGAGCACCCTTGGCCCCAGATGGGTGCCCAGCGCCAGGGCAGGGGAAGCCCCCCATCCATCATTCCTGCTCTGCTCACAGATGGGGCCTGTGGGGTGGGGATGGAGGCACGAGGGGAGCCAGGCCAGAAGCAGGACAGAACGAGACCACGGGGGACACAGGCGGGCTGGCAACAGGAAGCAGCGGCTGGGGGGAGGCAGGACGAGAAGGGTGGATGGGCCCTGGGAGGGCAGGGTTGGCACGTGGGCTCCAGGCAGGGGAGGGCCCAGGGTGATCTGGCCGCCCAGCATGGGGCCACGCAGGGCAGGGGGCATAGGGATGCTCGGTGGGCAGGGACAGTGGTCACTCTGCAGACCGGGTGGGCCACGGGGCTCCAGGGGCTTGCCCGGTCACAGTTCCAGACACAGAACTAGAACCACACACACACACAGGGCTTCTGTCCATGCATTTCCTACCTGGAGGCCCCGTAGGTTTGAGTTTGCGAACTTTCAAGTGTTTCCACACACACAAAGGGAAAAGAACGGAAAATTTCAAAAAGAACGGGATAAGAAAAAGAAAATGAAACAAATAGTTGAGGAAAGTAGGGGAAACAACAGAACAAAGAAAATTAGCACAAGGGCTGGTTCTGTCCCTGCCCTGGGCTGAGAGAGGTCACTTTGCAGAAACAAGGGCATGGCCGACATTCCCAGGAAAGACAAGCAGGGCCAGGCTCCTAAGGTCGGGCTTCCAGGAGGTGCAGGGGGGATGGTGCTGAGGGAGGGGTTGGGGCAGACCCCAGAGGGCGACTGCAAACATCGAGGACCGCCAAGGGCTCTGGCATCCTCCTCCCAAGTGACACCCTGAAAAGGCAGGTAGCAACTGAGGACTGCCGCGGGTCTGTCCACCCTGGCCAACTCAGGATCCTCAAGAAGAATCCTGGGCCCCACCCCAGCTTAGAATTCCCAGCCACACTGTGCACCTGCCCCACCCTCAGGGAAGGCCCCACCCTCAGGGAAAGCCCCGCCCACAGGGAAGGCCCCACCCTCAGGGAAGGCCCCACCCTCAGGGAAGGCTCCACCCTCAGGGTAGGATCCACCCACAGGGAAGGCCCCACCCGCAGGGAAGGCCCCACCCTCAGGGAAGGCCCCATCCACAGGGAAGGCTCCACCCTCAGGGAAGGATCCACCCACAGGGAAGACTCCACCCACAGGGAAGGCCCCACCCACAGGGAAGGCCCCACCCTCAGGGAAGGCCCCACCCTCAGGGAAGGATCCACCCACAGGGAAGGCCCCACCCTCAGGGAAGGCCACACCCACAGGGAAGGCTCCACCCTCTGGGAAGGATCCACCCACAGGGAAGGCTCCACCCACAGGGAAGGATCCACCCACAGGGAAGGCCCCAGCCTCTGGGAAGTCCCCACCCTCAGGGAAGGCTCCACCCACAGAGAAGGCTCCACCCTCTGGGAAGGCTCCACCCTCAGGGAAGGATCCACCCACAGGGAAGGCTCCACCCTCTGGGAAGGCCCCACCCACAGGGAAGGCCCCACCCTCAGGGAAGGCCCCACCCTCAGGGAAGGATCCACCCACAGGGAAGGCTCCACCCACAGGGAAGGCTCCACCCTCTGGGAAGGCTCCACCCTCAGGGAAGGATCCACCCACAGGGAAGGCTCCACCCTCTGGGAAGGCCCCACCCTCAGGGAAGGCTCCACCCTCAGGGAAGGATCCACCCACAGGGAAGGCTCCACCCACAGGGAAGGCTCCACCCTCTGGGAAGGCCCCACCCTCAGGGAAGGATCCACCCACAGAGAAGGCCCCACCCTCAGGGAAGGCCCCACCCTCTGGGAAGGCCCCACCCTCAGGGAAGGCTCCACCCTCAGGGAAGGCTCCACCCACAGGGAAGGCTCCACCCTCAGGGAAGGCCCCACCCTCAGGGAAGGCCCCACCCTCAGGGAAGGCTCCACCCTCTGGGAAGGCCCCACCCCCAGGGAAGGATCCACCCTCAGGGAAGGCTCCACCCACAGGGAAGGCCCCACCCTTAGGGAAGGCTCCAGGGGACAGAAACCCCCTAGGAGCAGGTGACGGGGGGCGCGGGAGCTGGGAAGTCCCGGGGCTCAGTTCCCCACCTCAGAGCAGAGGGCGGGCGGGCAAGGTGGTGCCCACACAGACGGACTCGAGGGGTCAGGCCCGCGTGGACCAGGAGAAAGGCCCTCAGAACCCCTCATCTCAGACCTTAATTTAAGCAAGAGCCAGGCAACGAAAATCCCAGCTGGCTGCCACCTGCCCTTTTGTAAAACAAAAAAACACGGGAAAGCCGCCCTCCGACCACACAGGCTCACAGGACCTGCTAGCACTGCCTCGACAGGCACTTTCTAGGCCCCCTTCTCTGCTGCCCGAGGGGCTCCAAGGTTGTCTGTGTGCTCTGTCCTGTTGGGGAACACCTGGGACCCCCAGGATAATTTGAGTTTCCTGGTCTGAAAGTCTCACTGTGATCCGGGGTTACTTTCCTGCCCCCCACGCCGGAGCCCTAGGTCCTTGATGGGGGACGGGGTCATGGTACTGGTTCCACTCTTGAAGCTTGGGCACCTCGAGCTGCCGGTCCAGAGCAGCCCGGGGAGCAGCTGTCGGTCCAGAGCAGCCCGGGGCGGGGGGCATTTACCTTGAGCTCCCTGGGGAGCGTCCTTGCAACGCACAAAACACAGCACGACCCACGGCCAGGACGATAAAGCAAAGGGGTGAGGAAATGAAAGTGAAGAGAAAGCCGCAGCTCTAACACAAAGGGCAGAAGCAACGCCTCGAAATAAACCACACACAGAACTCCTTTGTGAAAAATACATTTTAAAGAAAAAAAATCAATCAAAATAATGAACAACAAAAAGTGGGGTTTAAGAACAAATGGAAAATAAAAAATGAAACAGTTGCTTGGTGGCAGGTGCCCGGCGGCGGTACCTGTACATGGGCACGGTGACCGTTCGCTCGTAGTACTGCCACGTGGAGTGCAGGTCTGTGCGCGAGAGGTTGGTGGCGTAGAATCTCCAGGCCGACTGCGGAGGGAAAGACAAGGCAGTTGGCGAGGGGCAGGCGGCGAGGGGCGCGCCCAGGAGGGCCGGGCGTGGAGGGAACGGGGCAGAGGGGACCCCCATGCTGTAGGCCAGGCACTCAGGACTCTGGGCCAGCAGGCCAGGCCCCAGTGCTGCATCAGCCCCACAGCCTCAGTTTACCCTCTGTAGGACAGACAGGCAAGCCCGCTTGTCAGACGGTGGGGCCTGAAGGAGGGGAGCGGTTGGGGCTTGACTCGGGGCCCTGAGCGAGCTCGCAGGGAGGCTGTGTTCTTTCCTTTTCATGACTCTTACCTGGCCCCTGGCGGGTATCACCTGTCCTGGGGGTTACCTTCCTGCCCTCCTGGTTGGGCCCTGGGCAACCTGAGGCGCTGGGAGTATGGGTAGGGCCAGGGACCTCAGCCTCCAACCTCCCAGGGCGGGGACTCAGCCCGGCTCGGGGCATGAGCCTGTACGTCAGACTGAACCTCGCCTGGCTGGATTTCCGTTCTCTATGCCTTTGTTTTGTTTTGCGGTGCTGAAATAGACATATCCTGAAGTTCACCATGTTAGCCATGTTAAAGCGTGCACTTCAGTAGCGCCTGCACACACAGTGCTGTGCGACCACTGCCCCTATCTAACTCCACACCTCTTCGTCGCCCCCAAATAAACCCCCTCCTACCCCCGACGTTCAGCAGGCGCTCCTGGTTCCTGGTCCCCCAGGCCCTGGCCACCGCCAGGGTGTACGGGGCTCCACGGACTTCCCCGCCCCGGGCATTTCCTGCCAAGGGCATCGCAAGCTGCACGGCCTTCCCCGTCTGGCTCCCTCCACTGAGCGTGACGTCCCCGCGGCCCATCCGCGTCGTAGCAAGGGGCAGCGCCCGCTCCTCCTGATAGGAGGATCGTATGGATAAATCACATTCCGTTCATCCATTAATAGACATTTCAGCTGTTTCCACTTTTTGGTTCCTATGAGTGGTGCTGCTGTGAAATTTGTGTGCACGTTTTTGGTTGAAGGTCTGTTTTCAATTCTTTTGTGTCTGTCTATACCTAGAGGTAGAATGGCCGGGTCACGTGACAACTCCACGTTTACGAACTTTCTGAGAAACAACCGAACTGCTTTCCAGGGTGACTGCATCGCTACATTCCTACCAGCAGGGGGGGCGGTGTCCACACATCCTCACTACGCTGATTTGCCATTTGCTAACATGTCAGCCGCCCTGGCCTGGCGCAGAGGCTCACAACACCTTGGAGGCTGAAGCAGGTGGATCGCCTGAGCCCAGGAGTTCAAGCCCAGCCTGGGAAACATGGCAAAACCCTGCCTTTACTTAAAACAAAAAATTAGCCAGATATGGTGGTGCACACCTGTAGTCCCAGTTACTCAGGAGGCTAAGGTGGGAGGATCGCTTGAACCTGGCAGGTCGAGGCTGCAGTGAGCCAAGATCACACAACTGCACTCCAGCCTGGGCAAGAGAGCAAGTCCCTATCTCAACAAAAAAAAAAAAAAAAGTTGGCCATCCTAACGTGGAGCCTGAAGACGGGACTGAACTGCTGCCATCTCAGGATAAAACTCTAACAGGTGAGGAGCAGCATTTATGGATGAGCAAAGTAAGTGGTTTCTTGGGATGGACGGTGAACACTGCAGACAGCAGGGTAAGGTCACTTCTGTCAGGTCCAAACCAACCGAGGCCAGAGAGTACACGGCGGCAGGGCTCACGCCTGCATGGCTGAGATGAGGACAGTGTCAAAGACATTCTAAAATAACCCCACAAGGAATTCCTTATCAGGAATGCAGCAATTCAGACAAGATGCTCTAGGAAGAACACTGGCCCAGCAGCGGCATCTCAACCAGTGAACGGCTGCCAACTCTGGTTTTCAGCCTCAGAGCCAGTGAACTCTGTTTCCAAGCAGCTTATGTGAACTTCTCAGCCAGGGAGAGCTTCCCTGCCCCTCCCTCTCCGGCACATGGGTGGCTCGCCACACTGGCTCATCTCTCGATGAGAGTCCCCCACCCTCTGGCCACAGTGGTTCATCTCTGGTTATAATCCTTTCTTCTAATTCCCAAATACATTTGACATGTGTGTGGTTTCTTTTTTTTTTTTTTTGGTCGACAGAATCTACTCCAGGCAAAGATGTTGTGAACTGTGTTGAAATGACAAGGAATGAGAACATTATATAAACTTAGTTGATACAGCAGTGGCAGCATTTGAGAGGACTGACTGCGATGCTGAAAGGAGGTCCACTGGGTAAAACGCTATCCAACAGAATCGCATGCTGCAGAGAAATCTTTCGTGAAAGGAAGAGTGAATCGATGCGGCAAACCTCATTCTTGCCTTATTTTAAGAAATCACCACAGCCGGGCGCAGTGGCTCACGCCTGTAATCCCAGCACTTTGGGAGGCCAAGGCGGGAGGATCACGAAGTCAGGAGATCGAGACCATCCTGGCTAACACGGTGAAACCCCGTCTCTACTAAAAATACAAAAAATTAGCCAGGCGTGGTGGTGGGTGCCTGTAGTCCCAGCTACCTGGGAGGCTGAGGCAGGAGAATGGCAGGAACCAGGGAGGTGGAGCTTGCAGTGAGCTGAGATCGCACCACTGCACTCCAGCCTGGGCAACAGAGCGAGACTCCGTCTCAAAAAAAAAAAAAAAATCGCCACAGCCCCAGCCTTCAGCAGCCCCACCTCATCAGCAGTGGCCACCAGCATCGAGGTGAGACCCCCTACCAGCACAAAGATTGCAACTCGCAGAAGGCTCAGGTGATTGTTAGTATTTTTTTAGCAATTAAGTATTTGTAAGTGAAAGTACGTGCAGTGTTTTACTGTTTTTTAGACATAATGCTACTGCACACTTAGTAAGCTATGGCATGGTATAAACATAACTTTTTTTTTTTTTTTTTTTTGAGACGGAGTCTCGGGCTGTTTCCCAGGCTGGAATGCAGTGGCGCAATCTCGGCTCACTGCAACCTCCGTCTCCCGGGTTCAAGTGATTCTCCTGCCTCAGCCTCCTGAGTAGCTGGGATTACAGGCGTGTGCCACCACGCCCAGCTAATTTTTTTGTATTTTTAGTAGAGATGGGGTTTCACCATGTTGGCTAAGCTGGTCTCGAACTCCTGACCTCAAGAGATCTGCCTGCCTCAGCCTCCTAAAGTGCTGGGATTACAGGTGGGAGCCACGGTGCCCAGCCTGTAAACATAACTTCCATATGCACTGGGAAACCACGAAATTTGTGTGACTCGCTTTATTGCCGTATCTCTACCGTAGTGGTCTGGAACCACGGCTGCAGGTCCTCTGAGGTGCGCCTGTGGAGAGGCCCAGCTGTGCTCTGGAAATGTGCACCAGCTGCTAAGAGTGACCTTCGAGGGAAGCAGGGCGCATGGGACCCTGGGTGCTCAGACGCTGCTTTTTCTGGCACTATTGTAACCTTTTCACCACACGTACGTGGTCACTTTTTAAACCGTCAATAGTGGAGTGAGATTTGGGGGCATTTTGGTTCTTCTTAAAACTCTTGCCTGGAAATAAATAGCTGTTTGTAGTTTTTATAGTGGAAGATAAATACACACCTTAAGGTAGGCTGGACCCAGAGCCAAGACCACAAGAGGCACATCCCCTGCAGTGGCCACTGACACTCCGCGGCTTGTGGCCACGTCTCCAGTCTCCGCCTTTGTGGTCACACTGCTTTCCCCTCCTCTGTGTCAAATCTCCTTCTTATAAGGATGCATGTGATTGCATTTAGGGCCCACCTGGGGTAACCCAGGATTATCTCCATCTCAAGATTTGCTGTCTAAGACAGGAGAGAGCCTATAGCCACATTCCGCTGGCAGGGATCCTGGTCAGCTCTGCGGGTCCAGTGGATGGAAGACTTTGGGGAGGAGCTGCAAGAATGGCTGGTCCCAAGGGGGTCCTGCTGTCTGTCCATATTTTCTCTTTTTTTTTGAGACGGAGTCTCGCTCTGTCACCCAGGCTGGAGTGCTGTGGCGTGATCTCGGCTCACTGCAACCTCCGCCTCCCTGGTTCAAGCGATTCTCCTGCTTCAGCCTCCCGAGTAGCTGGGATTACAGACGCACGCCACCACGCCCAGCTAATTTTTGTATTTTTAGGAGAGACAGGGTTTCACCATGTTGGCCAGGCTGGTCTTGATTTCCTGACCTCGTGATCCTCCCACCTCGGCCTCCCAAAGTGCTGGGATTGCAGGCGTGAGCCACTGTGCCCGGCCATTGTCTGTCCGTATTTTCAAGGTGGCTCAGGAATTACTTGTGGATGCCACAGTGGTCACTGCACGCTACCCACCCCCAAATGGTGGGACGGCACTGGGTGGGGTCCGGGCGGGCATCATGGGGGCCCACAGCCAGCATCAGGGGTCAGACGAGGTCAGGCACTGACTCACTGCAGTGTGTGGGCTCTAGGAGCCTTGGCCCTGCAGCTGCAGAACGGGTGTGCTCACCTCCCAGGGTGCGGTAGAGAGGACCTGATGGCCGGGCCCCAGCACCCACACAAGGCAAGGGCCACCCCAGCGTCCTCACACGAGCCACCCCTGTGCAGCCTCAGGGGTTGGAGCCATTTCTCAACACACACACTTCACATCCTCGCTCCTTCCACAGATTCCTGCAGAGGGTGAGCGCTGTGGCCCATCCACAGACAGGGCAATGCCAAAGCCCCAGCGGCCTCCACTCCTCAACAAGGTGGGACCAGGACAAGGGCTGTGCTGGTCCCCGGGGGACACCTGGACTCACCTGGATCAGGCCTGCTGCCGGGTTCCGCCTCTTCTCAAAGTGCTTCTGCCTGTGCTGCTCCTGAACCTTCAGGGCAAACCCAGACCCCAAGATGCCCTGCAATTCATCAGGGTCAGGTCACACCCCAGGGACCCCCCACACCCCAATTCATCAGGGTCAGACCATGCTCTGGGGCCCCACACCCCCCCCAATTCATCAGGGTCAGACCACACTCCAGAGACTCACACACCCCCCAATTCATCAGGGTCAGACCACGCCCCAGGGACTCACACACCCCCCAGTTCATCAGGGTCAGACCCGTCTCCACCGATCCATGCCTCCCCCACCTTCATCAAGGTCAGACTAATCCAGGAACCCATATCCCCACAATTTGTCAGCATCAAGAGGAAGGAACCCTCTGGCTTGCAGGAGACATGGCAGGACCCACACTGAACTCAGAGTGGCCTCTTTCCCTTCCACACAGAAGAGTCTGCAGGCCCATCTTGAAGGGCACACAGTGAAGGGGACACCGGGGCCAGCCTCTTGCCGTGCACCAGCTGCCCTGCCCTGCCCTGCCCTGGGGCAACAAGGGTTGACAGGGCCCCTCCACCTCCCTCTGAGCTGGGTGGGCCTCACTGCCTAGAGACCCATGAGGGACCTGTGTCACCAGCCGCCCTGCTCCTGGTCACAAGGACCTCCTGCTCAGCCCCACTCAGACTAAGAGGGGCCACCAGTGACTAACAGAGCCCCCTGAAGCTACAGCCGCAGCCTTGGGCATGCTCCTGTCGGGGCTGGGGAACCCCCACTCCAGTCCTTGGGGAACAAGGCCTCTGACCCTGAGCTGCCACCTCCAGCTCCTGGGGGCTGTGGACCTGCTGAGAGCTGCTCCTGCCCCAGGTCCCACCTAGGGAACTGTGCCCAGGGGCCTGTGGTCACCTCGGGAGCCTACAAGACCTCGTCCCCCTCCAAGGCAGGCAGGGGCAGCTGGACTTACTGCAGGCAGCGCGAAGAAGGAGACACCGATGAGGGTGAAGGTTGCCGCAAGGAGCCTGCCGTTCCAGGTCTGGGGGTACTTGTCCCCGTAGCCAATGGTGGTCAGCGTGATCTGTGGGACCGCAGGCTCTAGTCACACGAAGGGCCTGCTCACACCCCTGAGGGCAGGCTGGACGCCCGCTGGCGACTCGGGGCTTGGGATGGGACAGATGCGGGGCCACCCCCGTGTCACCATCCACACGGAGGCCCAGTGAGGCCAGGGTCGGTGTCGGCCGCCCCTCATCCCCTGAGCCCTCTCTCCTCTTCCCCTACAGGCCAGAAGCGGGGTCCAGCCAAAGGCTGTGTCCCCATCTCACATCGAGAACCAGAGGCCCAGCGACGTGACTCCCACGAGGCTCGGCTAGGACAGCAGCCCCCACTGCATCCCCGCCAGGTGAAGAGTGCAGCTGGGGAGAAGGGAGTGCCCAGAGGGACCCAGAGGAACGGGCAGGGCGTGCAGGGGGCTCGCTGAGCCTGAGCTGAGCTGAGGCCAGAGGAGAGGGGTGGGCAGGAGGAGGCCACCACAAGAGGCGGGGGAGTGGTCTCCACCGAGCCATGGCGGGGTGGGCTGCTCCTGGAGCAGGGACCCCAGGGGTTGTGCTTAGTTTCTCTAGGGGTGGTGGGCAAGGGGGAGGTCAGGCCAGGTTGGACCTCCCCAAGGGTCCCGGTAAGCCCAGGAGCACCCGACTCGGGGCCTGGATGAGGGGAAGCGAAGGACGGACACGTCTCCAAGCAGCTCCGACAAGAGATGCCTGTGCCGGGGCCGAGGAAGGCAGGGGCAGGCACCCTGCACTCAGTGCTGGACATGTTGGGGCCGCAGCCCACCCCCGCCTGCCAGAACCGCACGCACCACAAGCCACGGGCTCAGGACAGCCGCACGGAGGCCACTCTGGCTAGGACCAGAAGGTGGGCCCAGGACAGGCCCTGTGAGGGCAGAGTCTTAGATAAACAGACGGAGGGATCGAGGCCTGAGCGCAGACAGCAGGGCCGGGAAGGGGAGACCTCTCACCAGGACCTGCAGCCCCACCTTGGGGAGTTTACCCTGGGTTCCGAGGACGCTGCTGTGTGGTCTGAGGACAGGGTGGGCCAGCTGGGCCGCACCTGCTCCACACCGACAGGAAGCTGTGGCCTGGTGCAAAGCAGCGCCAGCACCTGGGGGCCTTGGCTACCACCACCACGCGGAGCGCACAGGAGACTCTGGGAAGGAGGCTGCCACACAGAGTGGGCGGGAGGCTGGGCGAGGCCTGACCAAGAAACCTCTCCTGGGGAGACTAAGCCAGGGCCTCAGCCCTCTACACAATTTCGTTACCAAAGGAGGCATGGTTTTTTGTTTGTTTGTTTGTTTGTTTTGAGACAGAGTCTCGCTCTGTCCCCCAGGCTGGAGTGCAGTGGCGTGATCCCGGCTCACTGCAAGCTCCGCCTCCCAGGTTCACGCCATTCTCCTGCCTCAGCCTCCCGAGTAGCTGGGACTACAAGCGCCCGCCACCACACCCGGCTAATTTTTTGTATTTTTAGTAGAAACAGGTTTCACCGTGTTAGCCAGGATGGTCTCGATCTCCTGACCTCGTGATCCGCCTGCCTCAGCCTCCCAAAGTGCTGGGATTATAGGTGTGAGCCACTGTGCCCAGCCAGGAGGCATGTTTTTTAAGACTACTGCCATTCTCAACTTAACCACAGGACAGCAAGGGTTGAGGGGGAAGGCGGAAAACCAGGAGGGAGAGGATGGGGACTGAGACAGAGATAGAGACAGAGACAGAGAGATAGAGAGACAGAGACAGAGAGATAGAGATAGAGAGACAGAGACAAAGGCAGAGATAGAGACAGAGAGATAAAGAGACAGAGAGATAGAAAAACAGAGACAGATAGAGACAGAGAGAGAGACAGAGAGACAGAGACAGAGAGATGGAGACAGAGATAGAAATACAGAGACTGAGAGACAAAAACAGAGCAATAGAGAGAAATAGAGACAGAGATAGAGACAGAAAAATAGATACTGAGAGAGAGAGACAGAGATAGAGAGATAGAGATAGAGAGAAATAGATACAGAGATAGAGAGACAGAGAGAGACAGAGACAGAGAGATACACAGGGACAGAGACAGAGACAGAGAGATACACAGAGACAGAGAGAGACAGAGACAGAGACAGAGAAAGAGACAGAGACAGATATGCAAAGAGATAGAGAAACAGAAACAGAGATAAAGACAGAGACAGAGAGATACACAGAGACAGAGAGATACAGACAGAGAGATATGGACCTGGCACAGTGGCTCACGCCTGTAATCCCAGCACTTTGGGAGGCCAAGGCTGGTGGATCGCTTGAGCCCAGGAGTTCAAGACCAGCCTGGCCAACATGGTGAAACCCTGTCTCTACTAAAAATACAAAAATTAGCCAGGTGTGGTGGTGCATGCCTGTAATCCCAGCTACTCAGGAGGCTGGGGCAGGAGAATCACTTGAGCCCGGGAGGTTGAGTCTGCAGTGAGCTTTGACTGCACCATTGCACTCCAGCCTGGATGATAGAGCAAGATCCTGCCTCAAAAAAAAAAGAAAAGAGAGAGAGAGAGACAGAGAGACAGAGATGGCAGAGAGACGGGCGGGGAAGTGAGACATGGACCCTGGCCAGAATGTTGTAGGGGACAGGGGAGTCGAAAGAAGCCAGAGAATCTCGGAGCAGCTTCTGAGCCCGGGTCCCACTGAGGGCCAAGTCTGTGGAAGGGGGCCAGGCCCTGCACCCCTCCCCAGGGGGGTCAGATGGATGGGACACTTTCACACACAGCTCTCCAAAAATTTCTGCCCCTGAAATGTTCTCAGCTAGACATCCGAACTGCTCCTTCAAAGTGGAGGCCAACTCAAGGAAAAGGAAGCCGGAGGCCTGGCAGATGGGGCCTGGCCTGCGGGGGAGGTGAGGGCGGGGTTCCCCCCACACTGCTGAAAACCCCCAAAGGCTGCAAGAAAGGGAAACTGGGGGTAGATCTCATCCCAGTAGGAGGTACACAGTCAGCGCGTTTGAATCAGGAAATACCAGCATCCCTATTTGCTATTTAAGACTAATCAGGTAAACCCCAAAGAAAAACACAGAAGCAGCCGCATCCGCTGCAGAGGGACCCAGAGGGGAGGGCACCGCGGCCACAGAGTGGGGCTCTATTCTCACCATAAGGCTTAGTAACTCTCTGACATTTAAAAATATACACAAGCATTACTCTGAAAAAACACCCAATCGTAAAGATAAGAAGGCTGTTGCCCACAAAAGACCTGGGGGATGGGCTTGTCCCCATCAAAAGTCCTAGGGCCCAGCAGTCACAGCTCAGGACGCCCCGGGCCCCACCCTGACCCTGTGGTGGGGCCTGAACCACACAAGATGGCTCAGTGAGTCCAGGTCATCTGTATGGTCCACAGCCTGGGCCCCAGGGCACGCTCAGCTCTCAACCCCCACCCAAGCCCCGACTGGGAAGACAGTGTCCAGGTCTCATGAAATTAATAAAATAACTTCGGATCAGCTGCATCCGGCTTAGGCACCAGGTGGAGCTGCCCATGCCTTCCCCGCAGGGCTGAGCCCACTCAGCCGGCATGTGCGGGGCTAGGCCCAGGGTCTGGTCTCAGCCTCCCAGGAGAGCACAGACCCTGCCCCTGTGCACCAGCAGCCTGAGGGTGTCTGTGGCCCCAGGTGAGGAGGAGCCCAGGGGCCAGATCTGTTCAGACCTGATCAGAGTGGGGCCTGCAGAGCCACCTAGTCTCCAAAAACTCAGGGCTGCCCAGGACAGATCTCCTAGGGATGCCTCTTCTCCCCTTTCCCCCAATAATCGGGACACGGAGCAGGTGGAGGGTCACTCAGGAGGAAGGAAGATGCCCACCACGGCTGAGCTCAGGAGGAAGGAAGATGCCCACCACGGCTGAGCTCAGGCTCTCTGGGGCCCAGCCCTCCCCACCCACTCCCCCGCCAGCTTGGCAACCACCACCCCGCCTCGACCACAAGCCATCATGACCACGGGCAGCCAGCAGGTGGCCCCAAAGAGATGTATGGAGCAGGCTCAGCCAGTGAGAGCCTGGTCCCAGCACAGGGACAGGGGTGTATCAGCAGGGAAAGGGAAAACCACAATGACCACAACTCACCAGGCCCCACCAGAGTGCATCCGCGTAGGTGTCAAAGTGGTCGTTCTCCCCCTTCTCTGCCAAGTACACCAGGAACGAGGCCAGGATGAGACAAAGGAAGCCGATGTACCAGGCAGTGACCAGCTCCTGAGAGGCAGACGGCACCACCATCATGACCACCATCACCAGAAGCATCACCATCACCACCACCAACACCACCACCATCACATCAACACCATGACCACCATCACCACCACCAAAACCATCACCACCATCACCACCACCACCATCACCATCACCACCACCACCACCACCATCACCACCATCACCACCATCACCACCACACACCATCACCACATCACATCACCATCACCACCATCATCACCAGGATCACCAGGACCATCATCACCGCCACCATCACCATTATCACCACCACCACCATCACCATCACCACCATCAGACAAACAAAAGCACCATCATCACCACCATCATCACCACCACCATCACCATCACCACCATCACCATCACCACCATCATCACCATCACCATCACCATCACCACCACCATCACCATCACCACCATCACCACCATCATCACCACCACCATCACCATCACCACCACCACGATCACCACCATCACCATCACCACCACCACCACCATCACCATCATCACCATCACCACCACCACCACCATCACTACCACCATCACCACCATCACCCTCACCACCATCACCACCCGCCACCTGCCTCCAGGAGCACTGCAGCCTCGCCAGTCAGCCCACTTTGGGCTCTGTCTCCAGGGATATAGGGGCTGGATGGACCCGTCTCCTGAGGCCAGCAGAGGCTCCACGCCAGGGTCGGTGGCAGGGCTGGCACAGGGGAACCAGGAGGCGCCGCTGGCTTCACCATCTTAGCTACGGCAGCCCATTCCCCTGAGCCTCCTGGCCTGGGCAACAGTGGCTCGCATGGCCAGCCCACCGTGCCCTCCAGGGTCAGTAGCGTCTATTCTGGCGGCCAGCAGGGCTGGAGAGTCTTGGGACTGTTGAGACCCTCCCCCAACCTCCCTGAGCCTCCGGGCACAGATGTGAAAAGGGTGCCCACTGCAGTCAGCACTCAACCCCCACAGCGTCCAGGGAGGGAGAGGGGCCACCGGGGGCTGACCCCTGCCCATTCTGCAGACAAAGCCACCACCCTGCCAGGGCTCAAGAGGGAAGAAAATGGGGAGGGGGCCATTTGAGCAAATGAGCCCACCCGTGAGCAAGGTGGAGGGACAGCACAGTCTGGCAGGATGGGGTCTCGGTCACTGGGGGGCCTGGGGCCCCTGGAACTCAGCATGTGTGGCCACAGCCACCCTCTGGGTCCCCCGGACAGCGGCCGCCGCAAGCCGCAGCTTAAACAACCACCAGGCAGGTGACTAGCACTTTGTATTGATCCAGGCACTAAAAACCCAGGAAAGAAGACACCCAACCACAGAGCCAAGGGTTCGCGGCAGGAAGGTGGGGGTGGCAGGGGCCAAAATGGCCTGGCCTGGCCTTTCGAAAAAGCAGCTTTCTGGAGACAGATGACAAAGATGGCCCAAGTCACGAGAAGAAGCACCGAGAAGAAAGGGGAGGGAGGCTCGTTCACACCTGATGGGCTCCAGCCAGAGCCACCACTGACTCCATCCCTCCACCCAGGGCTCTTGAAGCAAACCCCAGGCAGGGGTGGGGCCCGGTCTGGGCCAGGACTCTCGCTGGCTGGGGGCGCCCACCGCCAGCCTTGGGGCCGTGACTCACCTTGCTGTGGGCATAGACCACAGAGCCCAGCAGCTTCCAGGTGCCTCCCCGCCGGTCCATGCGGATCATCCGCAGAATCTGCAGGAAGCGCAGGCTCCGGAGCGCAGATGTGGCAAAGACGTTGCCCTGGGAGCCGGCGGCCAGCACCGCAATGGAGGCGATGAGCACCATGATGTCTACAAAGCGGGCGTGGAGCTGGTGAGCTGCTGGGCCGCTCCCCGCACCCCCTTGGAGAAAACTCCCCACCCCGCGTTCCAGGAGGATGTGCAGAGGGGCGGGAAGGTGTATGCCCAGCGCCTGGTGTGGGCTCTGTCAGGCCCCAGGAAAGACATTACTATCGTCCACCCTGCCTGTGGGGCCCAGGATGGGCAGCCCAGCGCCACATTCCTCTTCCTGACATTTAGGCAGAGTTAACCACAGCCTCTGACTCCAAGTCAGCAGGTGAAAAGAAACTTCCAGAAGGAGCCAGTCCTGCCCAGCCTCTCTGGCCCACGCAGACGCCCCAGCTCCCCCCAGGGCTGAGTCCGTCCCTGGGTGCCTGGCCCTGATTCTAGCAATACCACCCCCACCAGGCCTCACCAATCACACAGAACGGTTTCCGGGCAAACTTGAGCCGCCCCCTCCAGCCACGGTACCGGCAGCAGCAGCCTGCGGCCCAGATCCGCACGAAGTACTCCACGCCAAACACCACGATAGTCACGATTTCCTGCAGGGGAGGAAAGCTGAGGCCACCTTGAGGCCTGGGGGAGGGCCTGGGGGCCCAGCCTGGACACCCACAGGAGCAGTTCTGGCCCAGGGACCAAGCCACAGGGCAGGAGGCCCCCAAAGGAAACTGCAAGCTGACCCCCCAAAGGGCCCCCACCCCTCTCCAGCCTCTGGGCAGGAAGGGTTGGGCCCTCTGGAGACCCTGCATCCGGGAACACAGCTGAGCATGAACACCATGGGGCCACCCTCCCCACCTCCCTGTCTGAGCTGGGGACTCTATCCGGGCTAGGGGACCCTGTCTGAGCTGTGGGGGGTGGCCCTGTCTGAGCTGGGGGATCTATCTGGGCTAGGGGACCATGTCTGAGCTGGGAGGGCTGCCCTGTCTGAGCTAGGGGGTTCTATCTGGGCTAGGGAACCCTGTCTGAGCTGGGAGGCCCTGTCTGAGCTGGGAGACCCTGTCTGAGCTGGGAGGCCCTGTCTGAGCTGGGGGACCCTGTCTGAGCTGGGGGACCCTGTCTGAGCTGGGGGACCCTGTCTGAGCTGGGAGGCCCTGTCTGAGCTGGGGGACCCTGTCTGAGCTGGGAGGCCCTGTCTGAGCTGGGAGGCCCTGTCTGAGCTGGGGGACCCTGTCTGAGCTGGGGGACCCTGTCTGAGCTGGGAGGCCCTGTCTGAGCTGGGGGACCCTGTCTGAGCTGGGGGACCCTGTCTGAGCTGGGAGGCCCTGTCTGAGCTGGGGGACCCTGTCTGAGCTGGGGGACCCTGTCTGAGCTGGGGGACCCTGTCTGAGCTGGGAGGCCCTGTCTGAGCTGGGGGACCCTGTCTGAGCTGGGAGGCCCTGTCTGAGCTGGGGGACCCTGTCTGAGCTGGGGGACCCTGTCTGAGCTGGGGGACCCTGTCTGAGCTGGGAGGCCCTGTCTGAGCTGGGGGACCCTGTCTGAGCTGGTTGGGGAGCTGCCCTGTCCGAGCTGGGGGACTCTATCTGAGTTGGGGGCCCCTGTCTGAGCTGGGGGACCCTGTCTGAGCCAGTGGGGGACCTGCCTTGAGTTGGGGGGTGCACAGCAGGGCTGAGCTGAGGGAAGGCCCCAGGTAACTGAAAAGGGGGCCACAGTCTCCACCCAGACCTTGGGAAGCCCCAGAACAGAGGAGCAGGGCGGGCAGTAGAGGGAGGTGCATTTGGATGGGGACCAGTCTCCTTGAGGGCCCCCCACCCCGTTACCAACAGCAACACAGGAACTGCACTCCCGTTGCCATGGCGCCCACCCTGCCCTGGCACAGGGTTGCTGCAAGCGTCACAGCCCCCACCCCGACGCCCACGTCTGCCGTCTGCTGGGGACGCCCCACATCTCCGGCTCCAGAGATAAAGTGGGGATGGGAAAGGGAGGGTGGCCCACCCAGGGTGGGGGCGATGGAGGCGGGGCTGTCAGCCACTGTGAGGTCACCAGGAGGGGTGAGGTGAGGGCTGAGTTACAGCCAGGGTGGGGCTGGGGCATAGCCCGGGCTGTGGGGCTGGGGGCAGATGGGAACTGACAGGGCACAAAGACATGGCCAGAGCTGGGGCTGGGGGCGTCAGAGGCCCTGTAGTAACAGGAACGGAAGACAGACGCCCAGGCAGCTCCAGCTCCTTCCTGGGCACTTCCAGCCCCCGCCCTCCCTCGGGGCTCACCAGGATGTAGAGGGCCCCCTCCGAGCTCTTCTCATACTCCTTGATGGTGGAAAACACAGACAGCACGAGGCAGGAGAAAACCAGGAGGAACCTGGGGGCAGGGAACGCGCGCTCTCAGACAGGCCGCAGCAGGGCAGCAGCATGGCTGTGTCTCCAGAACTCAGGACCCCACTCCCCACCAGGCCGCAGCAGGGCACCAGCATGGCCGCGTCTCCAGAACGCAGGACCCCACTCCCCACCCACCCCACCAGAGCTCGCTCAGGCCAGAGGGCACCCCCATAGCCACCTCCCGGGACCCTGAACTCCACAGTGGCAGCTGCCCCCTCTATGCGCAGCTGCCCCCTCCAGGACGCACCCCCCTCTCCACTCTGGCCCCTGCCCCTTCTGTCTGGTTTCAGCCTGGCAGCCTCATCCTTTGGCAACGTCTCCAAAACTCTCAGTCAAATGGGAACAGCAAGGCCTGCCCATCAACTGCTACAAACACAGGAACAAGCAAAACCCCTGGGGCAGAAGGCACCGATCAGCCTTCCCCTCTCCTCACTCTCGGCCACCTCCTCCAGACCCCAACGCAGAGGGCTTCTCTCTGCCAGTTAAACCCGGAGCCAAGCAACAGGAGCTCCTCGGATCACCTTCTTTCCAGCCTCGTCCTGGCTGCCAGGAGGCTCCGTTTCTCCTTCCTCCCGGGTTGCAGGCACCTCCTCCCGCCAGTGACTTCCACCATGATTGCTCTTCCCATTCACGTCCCACGCGATTACCTCACTCACTGATCCTTCTTCAATTTCCCCTCAGATGCTCAAGTTCACACCCCACCAAAATTCCCCCAAATGCATGTGGGTATTTTTGTTTTTGTTTGTTTTGTTTTGTTTTGAGATACAGTTTCACTTGTCGCGCAGGCTGGAGTGCAATGGCGTGATCTTGGCTCGCTGCAACCTCCGCCTCCCGGGTTCAAGCAATTCTCCCGCCTCAGCCTCCAGAGTTGCTGGGATTACAGGCATGTGCCACCACACCAGGCTAATTTTTGTATTTTTTTAGTGGAGATGGGGTTTCATCACATTGGCCAGGCTAGTCTCGAACACCTGGGCTCAAGTGATGCTCCCGCCTCGGCCCCCCAAAGGGCTGGGATTACAGTCATGAGCTACCATGCTCGGCCCAAATGCGTGACTTTTTCTCAGCCCTGCATTCTCCTCTGATACAAGCGACTCTGCTACACTTGCTCCCTTGCCCACCCCAGGAAGCTGCAGACAGGAGGAGCCCGCTAGCCCCCGAAGACCCTGCCGCGGGAACCCGGCTTGTGGCTGCAACAAGGCCACCCACATAGAAGAGACATAGAAGATCTCCCAGCTCTTCCTGGGAGCAAAGCTGTGCAACCCAGAGCCTCAAGCTGCCGCTTTGGCAGGAAAGCCAACTCCCGCGTGCTGAAGTCACTGAATGCACACCAGAGAGAAACCCACTTCGCAGGAAGCAAATGCTTTGTCTCATTTACATTTTTCGCAGGTGTTCTGGGATGTGAAGGGGACGTGTCCAACGTCCAGGTCCTTCGTCACAGCCATAAAGGAGGCCATGCGTGGGACACGCCCTCATTCCAGGCAATGTGAGAGACGCCTTCACCTTGACCGTGTTGCTGCCTCTCGTTCCAACCGTGCTCAGAACCAGGAGCCGGCGGGGACGGAGCCACAGAGCAGCCGCTTCCCCGTGTCCGCGCCCCTGTACTGTCTTCACACTCGCCATCACCTTGCACACCCTGCGGCACCACACGACCGCCACGGAGCCTGTGGGGCCCTCCTGTGTCTCAAACCCGAGCCCTTCCCCGGCGCCCACATCCAGGTGGGTGTCAAGGGAGGGAGATTCCCCACACTCAGGATCTCCTTCCCTCTGTCCCCAAAGCAGTGCTGCAGTCCAGCCTGGGTTCCGGGCAGTGTCCCCGCTCCCCTCTCCCCACTCCCACAGAGGAAATATTCCCTGGATGCCCCGACCTGCAGGGCCGAGACTGGGCACAGGCACGGGCATCCTGGGGGAAGTCCCTCCAGCCCGGATACGCCCACCCCTGACCTGCTGGGCCGGGGCACTGGCCACAGGCATGGGCATCCTGGGGGGGAGTCTCTCCAGACTGGTCACGCCCCCTCATCATTGGAGCTTCGGAGCATCACAGCACCTGTCTAGACCCACCCCTCCTGTCTCAGCCTTGCAATTTCCTTTCCAGTCTGGGGGTGCAGGGATGCTCATGGGATCGAGGCTGGCCAACCACGGCCAGCGAGTGGTGGCCCCAGAATCTCTGCTGGAACTACCAGGAATAAGACACCCCCTTCCCACAAAGGTTGCCAACTAGGAGGAGGCAGGCCTGGGGCACTGGCAGGAGGACGGGTGGGCACAGGAAAACCTGCCTGAAGATGAGGTCATGAGGAAGGCAGCACAGAAGGATGGGAGAAGAGGCCTTAAGACACATAATGTGAGCACCTGGATCCAGCTGTGCCTGAAGCCCCTTGGACTTCCAGGTTATGTAAGCCCATTCCTTACAACCCTTTGCATTTGTTTTCTGCCCCTTGCAAATAAAAGACCATGACCTTTCACGCTATGAGCAGCTGACATCGGTGTGTCCCTGCTGCGAGCCCACGCCTGACTCCACCATGCTGTGGCCACATGCTACTCTGACCCACAGCTCCTCCCTGGGCAGACAAGCCACGCGGCTGTGACACAAGCTGCCACGGATCAAAAAGGAAAAAACAAGTCCTCGATGTGCGGAGCTATTTAGTGAGCACAGGTCAGCGTTGGCCGCAGTGCCTGGAGGGTCTGGAGGGTTTGGGGAGCAGAGGTCAGCATTGGCTGTGGTGCCTGGTGGGAAGAGGACCCCACTCTGCTCACGGCTTCACTGTCTTGTGGGAGAGCCCCTGGGGAGCACCGCAGAGAGAGGAGGGACTCACCAAAGGCCGAGCTCCACAGCCCGGGAGAAGAGGGAAAAGCCCCAGCGTCTGAGCTCCTGGGAGAAGAGGGAAGAGGGAAGCCCCAGTGTCTGCGGCCTGCAGGGAGACTTCTCAGACTTTTGGCCGCGGAGGCAGAAGGACAGGGCCAGGCCATCCGGGCACAAACCCGGGGCCCCCATCACCCCAGGCTCAGGCTCTGAGCCCCCAAACCAGGACCAGCCCACTGGGTGGTGGCAGCAATTGGAGCACGTAATTGGGCCCACATCTGACACACAGCACTCAGAGCAGACCCCGTCCCGCACCATCAGTGCCATCACCAGCACCCACACCCAGCACACAACCCTGCGCTGCCTGCGCCCCTGGAACCCGCCCGCCACCACACGAGCTCACTGCCTCTGCCCCTGCAGGCCCCTCACCCCGCCTCACCCCCTCCCTCACTTACAGGCCCCTCACCCCGCCTCACCCCGTCCCTCACTTACAGGCCCCTCACCTCCACCACCACTCCTCCCCCACCCCTCCCTCACCCAAAGGGACGAAGTGCCCCAAACCCTCTTCCCACTGCTCCGGAGGGACCTAGACGAAACCCTGGCTGCTCTTCCAGAGGTCACGGCCCAGCACACGTGCCGGACGAGGGCGGCCGCAGAGGCCCAGCAAGGCCACCACACATGAGGTCAGGGCTGGATCTCCCTCCCCAAGTGGCTTTAGGCTTCCAGGAATAAGGCAGCACTGATGCCTGCCCCCGCTCCCAGGGCCCTGGGGCTGCCCCAGGTGTGGGACGCTGTGGCTGCCCCATGCAAGGGCCAGGACTCCCTGAGGCAGCACTGGGCGCTGCAGTCACCCCTGGGGGCAGAGCCCCAGAAGACCTGCTGGGGGGTGGGGGAAGACTGCTGGGGGGTGGGGGGAAGACCTGCTGTGGGGAGGGGGAAGACCTGCTGTGGGGTGGAAGACCTGCTGTGGGGTAGGGGAAGACCTGCTGTGGGGTGGGGGGGAAGACCTGCTGTGGGGTGGGGGAAGACGTGCTGTGGGGTGGGGGAAGACCTGCTGTGGGGTGGGGGGGAAGACCTGCTGTGGGGTGGAAGACCTGCTGTGGGGTGGGGGAAGACCTGCTGTGGGGTGGGGGGGAAGACCTGCTGTGGGGTGGGGGAAGACTGCTGGGGGGTGGGGGAAGACTGCTGGGGGGTGGGGGAAGACCTGCTGGGGGGTGGGGGAAGACCTGCTGTGGGGTGGGGGAAGACCTGCTGTAGGGTGGGGGAAGACTGCTGGGGGGTGGGGGGAAGACCTGCTGGGGGGTGGGGGAAGACCTGCTGTAGGGTGGGGGAAGACTGCTGGGGGGTGGGGGGGAAGACCTGCTGTGGGGTGGGGGAAGACCTGCTGTGGGGTGGGGGAAGACCTGCTGTAGGGTGGGGGAAGACCTGCTGGGGGGTGGAGGAAGACCTGCTTGGGGGTGTGGGAAGACCTGCTGGGGGGAGGGGGAAGACCTGCTGTGGGTGTGGGAAGACCTGCTGTAGGGTGGGGGAAGACTGCTGGGGGGGTGGGGGGAAGACCTGCTGTGGGGTGGGGAGACTGCTGGGGGGTGGGGGGAAGACCTGCTGGGGTGAGGGGGAAGACTGCTGTGGGGTGTGGGAAGACCTGCTGTAGGGTGGGGGAAGACTGCTGGGGGGTGTGGGAAGACCTGCTGTAGGGTGGGGGAAGACTGCTGGGGGGTGGGGGGAAGACCTGCTGGGGGGTGGGGGGAAGACCTGCTGGGGGGTGGTAGAACACCGCCCGAGGTGTGTGGGAAGACCTGCTGGGGGGTGGGGTAATACCTGCTGGGGGGTGGGGGAAGACCTGCTGGGGGGAGGGGGAAGACCTGCTGGGGGGAGGGGGAAGACCTGCTGTGAGGTGTGGGAAGACCTGCTGTAGGGTGGGGGAAGACTGCTGGGGGGTGGGGGGAAGACCTGCTGGGGGGTGGGGGAAGACCTGCTGGGGGGAGGGGGAAGACCTGCTGGGGGGAGGGGGAAGACCTGCTGGTGGGGTGGGGGGAAGACCTGCTGGGGGTGGGGGAAGACCTGCTGGGGGTGGGGGAAGACCTGCTGGGGGTGGGGGAAGCCAGGAGATCCCTAGCGCAGAGGTCACACAGGGTCAAGGTGGGGTCAAGGTTGAACAAGAGTGGCAGGCGCCCAGGTGAGAGCTGGCAGAGCAGCGTCTGTGGAGCCGAGGCTGCGGGGGCTTGGAAGCAGGGGAGGGCAGACCTGTGCAGAGAGCCCTTGGCATAACTAACTCCATCTTAGGAAAAGACTCCATTTTGTCTCACAGGGCACTCTACCAAGAAGGATAAGATGTCTGTTTAAAAACCAAAAAGCAAAAAAGAAGAAAACCTGGCCATGCATGGCGGCTCACGCATCAGCACTTCGGGAGGAGGCCGAGGCGGGCAGATCACTTGAGATCAGGAGTTCGAAACCAGCCTGGCCAATATGGTGAAACTCTGTCTCTACTAAAAATACAAAAATTAGCCAGGCATGGTGGCGCAGGTCTGTAATCCCAGCTACTTGGAAGGCTGAGGCAGAAGAATCGCTTGAACCCAGGAGGCGGAGGCTGCAGTGAGCCGAGACCATGCCACTGCACTCCAGCCTAGGCAATAGAGCAAGACTCTGTCCCAAAAAAAAAAAAAAAACAAACAAACAAACAAAAAAATGAAGACCAAGTCCAACCAGATAAGGACACACACAAGCCAGTCCTCCGTGCTCAGTTCTCCCTGGAGGCCTCTGTCTTCACCGCCGCTGTCTCACAGTCACCTGCAGCAGCCCAGGCCAGGCCTCTGGGCTGGTATTAACCCTCTGTCTTGTGTCTTTTTCCTCATGATGTTAAACCTGGCTTTGGGTGGAAAGTGGAATTTGACCAGATGAGCACACGGCAATATACGGTCTGCAACACTGACCAACATGGAGTGGCCGTGACCGCAGCATGACCCAGAAGCTCTAGGGAGAACCTGCCTGCTTGGGGACTCCACGTAGCTCGTGGCTTTTGTGATTGAAACAGCATCAATAAAAGCCTGACCCTGTGGAAAGACACAAACCCGCGTGGACCTCGTGTCAAGCCCATCCTGTGTGCAAAGTGCCTCCAGAACCTGGGGACTTGGGCAAGCTCCCTTCAGCCAAGAACAAGAGGGTGGCCATGCTGTTCCAGGCTCGATTCACGACGGACACCCCCACGGCTTCCCTCTGCCCGGACCCAGTCATCTCCCCACTGAACACCCTCTGGATGTGGGGAGGCCAGCATGGCCCCCTGCAGCCCCCCTCCCACTCGCTGGAGACCCCCAAGTCCAGGCAGCCTGAGTCCTCTGGCCTGGGCAGGCGCAGTCCCCATAGCTCCACCTTCCGACTCCCCAGCAGCGGCCTCTGCTGCACGGCCCAGGGCGTCCAGGGCAGGGAAGGCGGGGCACAGGGTGGTCCTCCCAAGATCTGCCCCGGGAAGGACCACGGCCGTGCTTCAGAAGCACCCGGGACCACACAGTCTGAAGCAGAGGTGGAGGCTTCGGGCACAGGCGGCCCGGCCAAGGTCAGCCCCACCAACTGCCCATTCCAGCACCAGAGCCAACTGAGGCCTGGCACTGCTCAGCCACAGGCAGCGGCGGCAGAAACTGTGCCTGTGAAGGCTCTGGCCCAGCACCCAAACCAAAGATGAAGGCGCAGGGGCCAAAGCCACATTTTAAAGCGTCTCATGTGAAAACTGTCAGCATCTCTAGCGTGAGCCCAAGTTCAGATTCTACCCACGTACACCCCGAGGACGTCCCAGCTCCATGCCATTGAGAAGCTGTAATCCAGTGCCTGCCTCTGAGCTGAGGGCAGCAGGCTGGAAACTCAGCACGACTTCCATGTTGCGGTCTTGAGGAAAATCCTTTTTCTTCCGGAAACCTCAGTCTTTGCTCTCAAGGCCTCAGCTGCTGGGACGACGCCCACCCCCACGGCAGAGGGTCACTAGCTTCACTTGAAGTCCGCTGAGCTAAGTGTTCATGCCGAAAAACACCTGCACAGCAGCGTCGAGGCAGGTGCGTGGCCACCAGCCGGGCACCATGGCGCAGCTGCGTGTATACAGAGTGTATGCATACAGTGGGCATCACGGGCTGGGAGAGGACACAGGGGCCTCGGCCAGAGGCCTGGGACTGCAGCAGGAACGGGCTGATTCAGCGGTGCAGGCACAGAACACCCTGACTGATGCTGAAGGACAGTGGTGGGGAGAGCCAGGTCTCTCGCCGGCAGCTCGGCTCCAGGGCAGGTCCAGGCCACACACCTGCCCAGGACCCCACCAGCTGGCCTGCAGCCACAGAGAGAGGCCCCACCGGGACCCTCCTCGTGGGAACTGGGAGCCTCCACACAGGCCAGCCAGAATGCCTCAGCCCGGGACGACGCGCCAGCCGGAGCTCCAGCTGCAGGGGCAGGGGTTGGGGCGGGGGCTTCCAGGAAGAATAGTCCCTGCAGGCTGAGGGGAGGGTCCAGGGCCTAGTGAGAAGCTCAAAGCGCAGCACCGCGTGTGGAGGCCGGGTGGGTCCAAGAGCCAGAGCCTGCCCCACGCTGCACCCCTCCCCGCCACCCCCAAGACCACAAGCCACAGCCAGGTCCTGCCCTATCCAGCTGCCGCCCCGCGGTGGACGTCGGCACAGCAGCACCAGGAAGGCCCTGTGTCGGGCACCCCAGGAGACACCAGTCCTCCGCCCGCCGCCACAGGCCCACGGCTTCCAGCTCGAAGGCACTGGCCCTGAGGCACCGTCGCCAGGGGGCACTCGGCCCCGCCCACGTGTGCGACCCAGAGGCCTCCGCCAGGACCCCGAAGCTCCCGGCTCCAGGCAGGGGCGCTGGCAGTGGTGCCGAGGCCCAGGCAGACAAACCATACGCAAGGGACGTCCCATTTCCAAGCCGCGATTAATTTCCTGTGCTCGTTGGCCAAGTTCTTCAATTAACTGAGCCCTGGGAAAAATGCGCAGACATCTCGTGCGCCTTCTGCGGGCGATCCTCTGTCTGCCTAACGGGGTTTTCTCTGAACTCTCAGCGGGGTAGGAGCAGGGGAGGACGCGGGGGTCCCTGGCTTCCCAGTCAGGAGCCCAGAGGCTTGGGAGGCAGGAGGGGCGCCGCGGGGACACAGAGGGCATCACACATCACAGGAGGGGCTCAGGGACCCAGCTCAGCCCAGCAGAGCCACGCACATAATCCTGTGGGCTTCCCGGAGGAGGCGTGTACAGGGGCGGGGGGGCTACAGGATACAGAGGAGTTGGCCACAGGGGGAGAAGGGGAAGGGCATTCCCAGCAGAGGGAGGAGCCGCTGGGGAGGCCTGGCGAGAGAAGGGCAGGCGTATCTGCATCCCACCGAGGATGAGGCTGACCAGACTTGAGAACAGGGCGGGGTGGGGACAACGACAGCCCCACAGACTTGAATTCTGAGTCCTCAGTGCCGCATCCAGGAAGGCAGCTCCTCGGGCTGCAGGGAACCTTCCTCTAAACTAAAAAAAACGAGGCCCAGGTCCCAAATGTTCAGGACTCAGCCTGCTTCCTAAGGTGGCTCCGACCAGGCATCTCAGAGCATTCCAGAAACCCTGGAGACAGAATGCAGCCGGATGCGGCCGAGATCTGTGGCTCCTCCCAGCAGGCGTGGACCAGGAGGAATAAAGCCAGAATTCAGGGAGATGAATCTCGCAGCCAGGCCCTCAGAAGGCTCCAGCTCCTTCCAGCTCAGCTTCCGCCCATCTGCCCCCGCCTCGCCGGCCCGCAGACCCTGCATGAAGGAAGCAGCTGCCCCTCCCGCCGCTGCCCCTCCTGCCACAGCCCCACCCGGAAAGTGCAGGCAACAGCTCCGACTTTTGTTTTTTAAGTTTTTGGAACAGATGGCACAGATGGCGCTGCCGGGGGCGGCCGGTGCAGGGGAGGCAGAGAGACGGACGTGCGAGAAGAGCCTTGGAGGAGGGAGGAGGCGGCACGGGGTGCGTCTGGGCCCGTCTGGGGGACGCAAAGATCCCGGTGCCTCGGCCGTGGCTCCAGGCCCCAGGACAGACCAGGGAAGAAACCTCCAAACTGCGGATAGTTCCCAAACGCACTGGCCAGCCATCCGGTCGGCCGAACCGTGGGGAAGACACAGGGGCTTCCAGGCCTCCGCCTACAAACCGTGGTGTCCCCAAGACATCCACACTCATGCCCATCTTAGAGAAGGGGAAACTGAGGCTCACTGAGGCAGGTGAGGGCCTCTGCCTCTGAACCAGGGGAGGGAGAGGGCGGCAGGAGACCCCTGATGGCATCCCCCAGGCCTCGGGAGAGGAGGCTCCCCGGGAACACTGGGACACACTCCCTGCCCATGTGGCCTCAGGGTCCCAGGCACGACGAGCGTCCAAATGTGGGACACTCCCTGAGGGCCAGCTGCCAGAGGCCTCTCGGGACGGGGCCATCACCACCTCAGACCCAGGCCCACAGTGTGGGTACAGCCCCTCCTGCACTAAGCTGGGGGACACAGCCCACCACGGGGCACTCAGCTGAGGTCTCGCTGGCTCGGCAAGGGCTGCCCGCCCCCTCCTGCCCAGGCAGCGGCCAAGTCTGCAGGAAAAGAAAGAAGAGACTTCCTACGGGAGAATGGGGGAGGATGAGGGGAGGACGGCGGGAAGACGATGGGAGGATGGGAGGACGGTGGGAGGACGCTGGGAGGACGATGGGAGGACCGAGCAGCTTCTCTGCAGCCCAGAATTACAACACAAAGGGTTTCGAAGCTAATTATGATAATGGGTTCAACTTCCGGAGCTTCCCTGGCAGCCGTTGCCAAGGAGATAAGGCAAGTAGCTGGTCCCCAGCCCCAGATTCAGGCAAAGAGTCAAGGTGGGGGCAGGGAGGATCCACAGAGCCCTGGCACCCACCACTGAGCAGAGGGGCAGGGGGACACCTGGACCGCGGGCGTCGGCTGGGGCTCACCGCACGTCCCTGACGCACAGCCCAGCCCCGTGCCCATCAGACAGCCCCAGATCACAAGAGAGGCCATGGCGGGGATCAGGCACCCCGAATGCAGTCACAGACTGAGCATGGAGCAGCGGGGGATCTCCTCCTGGGACCTGGGACCCAAGTGCAAAGAGGAGAAGTTGGGGCAGGGAGGGGCCCATGGGAGGGACCAAAGGGTCACCAGGCCAGAGGGGTGCCCAGTTAAGGCCGGACCACAGTCCTGGGGCCCCCACCGCCCAGTTAAGGCCGGACCACAGTCCTGGGGCCCCCACGCTGGCACCCTCAGGCCTTGAGATGCAAAAACTCCTCTACTCACGGGGCCCCCACCTCCGGGAGACCCCTGTGCTCACGGACCCCCCACCTCCGGGAGGCCCCTCTGCTCACGGGCCCCCCACCTCCGGGAGACCCCTCTGCTCACGGGCCCCCCACCTCCGGGAGACCCCTGTGCTCACGGGCCCCCCACCTCCGGGAGGCCCCTCTGCTCACGGGCCCCCCACCTCCGGGAGGCCCCTCTGCTCACGGGCCCCCCACCTCCGGGAGGCCCCTCTGCTTCACGGGCCCCCCACCTCCGGGAGGCCCCTCTGCTCACGGGCCCCCCACCTCCGGGAGGCCCCTCTGCTTCACGGGCCCCCCACCTCCGGGAGGCCCCTCTGCCCACGGGCCCCCCACCTCCGGGAGGCCCCTCTGCCCACGGGCCCCCCACCTCCGGGAGACCCCTCTGCTCATGGGCCCCCCACCTCCGGGAGACTCCTGTGCTTCCAGGTCTCCCCCGCCTTCCTTCCCCATTCTGGTTGAAGGGGATATTTCTTTTCTGGGAAAGCATGACACAGACGCCGCCACCCCGCTCCTCACTCGCTTCATGCACTTGGGGAAGAGGACTCGACGCAGGAGGGGTCTGGGCCCCCCGAGTCAGTCCCACAGCCAGCCCCCTCGCTCTGCGACTCTGGATCCTCCAGTCAGGCCCCTTCCCCAGAGGCTGACTCCAAGTTGGCCAGGGCTGTTCATCTCATCTTGCGTATTTAGTTAAATGAAAACGGAACACGTGAAGGATGGGCGGGCAGGAGGGAAGGCGTCACCACCTCACCGCCACCCTCAGCCCCTGCCTCAGTCAGAGCCAGGGTTGGGTCAGGAGGGGCCCCTGACATCAAGACCCCACTCCCACTCCACGGGCTAAGCTTCTCAGCACACCCATGACCTGCCAGGAGGGAAGCAGCCCTACAGTCACGTGCCCATTTCACAGTCGGGAAAACAGAGGCTCCGGAGACTCTCAGAGGCCCACGTGCGGATTGGCCAGAGCTGGCTGGCTGCACGGCCCCCACCATGCACCCCTCTCCCACTGCAGGGGGTCCTGGGGGGTCCCACGCAGCCTCCTTAGGCAGAAATTCCCTGTCCAGAACAATGTCCATGCTGATGAGGCTGCACCTCCCCGGGGCTGGGGACCTGGGAGCCCAGCAGGGCCCCGGGGATGAGCAGAAAGCCAGCGTGAGGCCGGAGTGGGCACCAGGTCCAGGACTGCTCGAGCCTCCCTGGGGGCCCCGCTCGCCTCGTCCATTAGGCAGCCGCCACGCTGCAACCTGGAATCTAATTTCACCATCTAATGAACTGCTCTGTTTCCAGGACACACGCCACCTCCCACCTCAGAAGTGACGGGCGCGGGCGCCGCTGACAGAGTCCAGGCGTGAACCGGGCATGAACCAAGCGTGATGGATCACTGCAGACCGCCGGGGCTGGAGGGGACAAGGGCCACGCTCCTGCAGAGCTGCACACAGAGACCTCTCGCGTGGAGCCGCCTCATGCTGAGCACTGCGTGGCTTGTACCTGCCAGGCCAGGGTCCACCCTCATTCGGAGCTTCCGGCAGCACCCACCTGAGCCTAAGGCCATGGGGCAGGGACGGGAGGTGACCCAGGTGGGACCGAGCCTCCCAAACACTGGGTGCTCAACTGGACCCTGACAGGACACAGGTCAGGAAGTCTCAGGTCCTCAGAAGGCCCAGCTGCTAGCCTGATGCTCACGGCCTCCAAACGGCCTGGGCCTGCCTATGCCCGCCTGCACCCACCTGGCACCTACAGCCCTCCTTCCAACATCCTGGGCAGGGAGGCGCTCTCAGGGGGCTCTCGATGCCCCACACTGACCATGGCCCCAGGATGGCCACTTCCTTCAGCCAGCTGTGGCTCCCTCGGGAACAGGAGTGGAGGAGCTGGAGGCGGGGGTCCTGCCCACCTGCACGTTGCTCCCTAACCACTCCCGCAGCAGACGCCCAAGGCCCACAGGGACCCCCAGCCCCCTGCATTGCTGCAGCAACCACAGGTCCTTCCAGGGCCTTCGCCCCGGCCCAGAAAGAGGGGGCATCCGCCATGCACCCCAGGGGCTCTGGGAGCTGCAGCTGTGGGCAGACTCCCAGGCCCTGGCAGGAAACCCGCTGGCTCAGCACGTGGTTAAATCAGCTCCCCGGGCACTGCCTCGTGACTTCGCAGCGCCTGCTCACGGTCCCTGGAGACGGAAGCTCCGCAGGGCTCATTTGTTCTCCATTAGTCACCTGTCCCACCCAGACCACAGGTGCTGGACAGAGACCCAGCCGGTGCACCAAGCAGGGCTGGCCAAAGTGCCCAGCCCAGCCCCATGCAGAGGTCCTGGCCCGCCCTCCCCGACCCCGCAACCTCCCTGGGCTCGCAGCCCCTGGCCTGGGGTCCCCTGGACTTTACTCTTCCTCCCGGCATGCCCCGGCTACCCACTCTCCACTGCCCCATCCCAACCCACTGAGCCCGCAGAGAAGCGCCCCTGTACCAGCCACTTTGATCCCAGAAGCATGTGGAGAAGCTGGGTGGGAATGGCAGCCAGCATAGGCGAGCCCCAGGCCCTGAAGATAGACCCCACCCTGGCCTGGCCCTCGAGGCCGCTGCAGTGCCTCATGGTGGACCCCACGCGACCCATCCACCCTGCTCCCCTCCTGCCCTCAGCAAACGCCGTCCCTGCCCCAGGGCCTTTGCACGTGCACTTCCTGCTGCCTGGAATCCTCTCCTACCCGCAGGTCCCAGAGCCGCCCCCTCATCCCCCAGGCTTCAATCTCAGGTCACTTTCTCTGAAAGGCTGCCCGACCATCCCTTCCCCGGGCAGCCCCCAAGTCTCCCTGGTGTATTCTCTCCAGGGCCCTGAGCCTGACCGAGCACTGTCCCCCCAGAGCAGCGGTCTGCTCGCCCTCCCGGAGGCAGGACCCCACATCCTCTGCTCAGACAGTGGCCCCAAGTGCCCAGCCCAGAACCTGCACAGAGGCGTCTCCCCACATCCAGGCAGGCGGCAGCCAAGACCCTGCCCTGGCCAAGTTGAACCTGCTCGAGAGCCCAGGCTGGCAGCCAGGCCTGGGGCCCACACTCAGGCGTCACTGCACCGCCTTCCGCACAGCGGGAAGAGCAAGGCGAGGGCTCCGGGAGGGGGCCTGTGTGGGTCTGGGGGGCTGAGATGAGGAGGGCACGGCCCACCCAGGGCACCTGGCCACATGTGACGCAGGCTTCGTCCCAAGAGGAATGACGAAATGTCCAGAGACACTCACCGCGTGTCCACAGCAGCCTCACGGCAGACGCAACCCAACATCCAGTTGGTGGGTGGGTAGATAAACTGAGGTCCGTCCGTGCGGCCACAGGAAGGACGAGGCAGCGGCCCCCAGACACGGAGAGGATGAAGGAGTACCCTAAACACGAAGGAACCTGAGGGCAGGCTCGGCAAGGAAAGCCAGGCACAAAACGGCACCACGATGACAACTCCACTTACACGAAACATCCGAAGCAAACAGGCCAGGCCCGGCGGCCACGCCTGTACTCCCAGAGCTTGGCGAGGCCGAGGCAGGAGGACAGCTTGGGCCTAGGAGTTCGAGACCAGCCTGGGTAACACAATGAGACCCCATCTCTACAAATGATTTAAGTTAGCCAGATGTGGTGGGGCACCTGCAGTCCCAGCGACTCGGGAGACGGAGGCTGGAGGATGGCTCGAGTCCAGGAGGTCCAGGCTGCAGTGAGCTGTGATTGAGACACTGCACTCCAGCCTGGGCGAAAAGAGACCCTGCCTCAAAAATAAATAAATTAAATAAAATAAAATAACAGGCACGTCACAGAGACAGGCAGGAGACCGGCAACTGCCAGGGACAGGGTGGGGCACACGATGGCAGAGGGCAAGAGTGTCCACATGGGGTGACAAGTTTTCAAATAGGGCTGGTGGCGGCAGACCATCACTAAATTCTCCACTCTAAACGCCTCTGAATTACTCGCTTTAAAATGCTATCTGCATGTTAGGATAATTTAACCTCTATTTTTAAAAAACAAAATAAACCGTGTTGTCAAGGTCTGGGACAGCAAGCGCACACAGGTAACCTGCCTGCCCATCAGTGGCTCTGTGCCTAGGGTGTCCACCCACCTGTGCCTCAGTTTCTCTCTGAATAGGATAGCTTTGGGTGGGGAGAGTTAACACTCACCACACCTTGTCCCCTCCAGACTCCTCCAGTCCATGGTGCTGTTGTCTCGGTAGGAAGGCTGGAATGTGGACAGGTGCGTTTACACTACAGGAAGCAGACGGCACCCGGGGACCTTGTGAGCTGTAGAATCGCCCCTTCTTCTGTGGCTGAAGCTTGGCTCTGGCCCTGGCCAGTGTCCCCATCCCAGCCCAGCCTACTCCTCCCCAAACCCGAGCCCCGGAGCTTCCCTGTCATGCACACCCCCATCCCCAGCACCTTTGGGGACCCCTGCTTGGCCTGGCCTGGGCTCCTGACCCTGCAGGTCCCTCCCTGGCCTTACCCAAGCCCTTAGCAGCTTTGGGGAGCAAAGGCTTCATGAGGTCCCAGGGGAGCTGGGGTGGAGAGGGGCTCCCCCCACCCTCAACAAGGGGGCTCCTCCTGAGACATCCCACACTCCCTTCATGGGCTCAAGCTGCCTGTCAGCCCCACCCGAAACCCATTCAGGTGCTGAGGGCACCCCAACAGTGGCACTCCTGACCGAGGCTCCCAGCAGGCCTTCCCCCCCACAGCCCCCTGAGACAGCCACGCCTAACCCCCTCCCAAGCAGGCCAGTGCCCTCAGCTGGTCCACGGCTCACAGCTCCAGTCCCTGGCCCCCTACAAACGTCCTAGTGAGTGCTCTCTCTCGGCCTCCACTTGCACACCTCCGGCGACGGAGGGCTCACCCCACAGAAAGAATCTCGTTCCAACACAAGCCCCTCCTGGGCCAGCCTGCGTCCTCCCTCTCCCCTCACCAGCCTTCCTGGCCAGGGTGGCCTCATCACCTAATCACATTCAGGCAGACCCGGGGCCTGCAGGACAGCCCTGGATGGGACACATGTGGATTCCCCAAGCCTCATGTGGACACGTCCCCAGGACAGCTGTGGTGTCGACATCCACGCAGGGACACCACACAACACAGGGACTCTGCCGTCATCCATGTCCACAGGTGGCTGGACAGGTGCTGCGGCAGCCCCAGGTCAGAGACAAGCCAACTACCTGGCACGCGAGACTCATCTTGCCCATGAGAAGTGTGGACAGTATGCCGTTAACACCACAGCGGGACGGGACCGCCTGAATCCTATTCTGTTTAGAAACGCACAGGCGGGCGCAGACACCTGGAAAGAAACCAGGAAGAGCAAACGTCCTTCCCTGTTTTCCACGCTTTCCCAGTCTCCTGCGGTGGATGTGCTTACTTTGCAGTCAGAAGAAAATAAGCCACGACCAAACGTTTATTTAAGAAACGAGGGCGGCAGGGGCCGCCAGACCCCCTCACCCTGACAGACGCAGCCCTGTCCACCCGCCGCTCAGGCCAAGGCCCCCCCAACTTTCTTCACGTGATCTTAACTCAGCTCTTGGCTAATTAAATGGCACCCGTGGGAAGGGATGGTCTCAGATAAGCTGGCTCAGTGCTAATTGTAAAGGAGAGAAGCCGGTCGTGTACCTTGCCCCAGCAGCCACCCCCCACCGATCATTCCTCGGGCACCTCCCAAACACCAGCCCCTTCCCCATAGCTGCCCAGAGGTGAGCCAAGCCCCTGACTCTATGGCCTGGGCGGATGCCAAACAAGAATCACACAAGGGGATCCTCTGGCCCACGAGGAGCCGCAACTGCAGCTCCTGGTCAGGACCATGGCCAGCACCCCGGGGGCCGGCCCTCCTCCCCCATCCCCAAGAGTGGCCCCAGAGCCTAATCAGGTAGGAGGGCAGAAATATCACCTACCCCAGGCAGCAGGGAGGAGGAGGCTGCACCTACCCCGGGCAGCAGGGAGGAGGAGGCTGTACCTACCCCGGGCAGCAGGCAGGAGGCTGCACCTACCCCAGGGAGCAGGGAGGAGGCTGCACCTACCCCAGGGAGCAGGGAAGAGGCTGCACCCACCCCAGGGAGCAGGGAAGAGGCTGCACCTACCCCGGGGCAGCAGGGAGGAGGCAGCACCTACCCCGGGGCAGCAGGGAGGAGGCTGCACCTACCCCAGGGAGCAGGGAGGAGGCTGCACCTACCCCAGGGAGCAGGGAGGAGGCTGCATCTACCCCAGGCAGCAGGGAGGAGGCAGCACCTACCCCAGGCAGCAGGGAGGAGGCTGCACCTACCCCAGGCAGCAGGGAGGAGGCTGCATCTACCCCAGGGAGCAGGGAGGAGGCTGCACCCACCCCAGGGAGCAGGGAAGAGGCTGCACCCACCCCAGGGAGCAGGGAAGAGGCTGCACCTACCCCGGGGCAGCAGGGAGGAGGCTGCACCTACCCCAGGGAGCAGGGAGGAGGCTGCATCTACCCCAGGGAGCAGGGAGGAGGCTGCATCTACCCCAGGCAGCAGGGAGGAGGCAGCACCTACCCCAGGCAGCAGGGAGGAGGCTGCACCTACCCCAGGCAGCAGGGAGGAGGTGGCACCTACCCCAGGCAGCAGGGAGGAGGCTGCATCTACCCCAGGGAGCAGGGAGGAGGCGGCACCTACCCCAGGCAGCAGGGAGGAAAATGCACCTACCCCAGGGAGCAGGGAGGAGGTGGCACCTACCCCAAGGAACAGGGCATCTGCCCCCACATCAACCACCTGAGCAGCAGGCAGCCTAGAGTGGTGCCCCAGAGCCTCCTCTCCCTGCACACACCTTCTGTCTCCAGCCTGGACGGGTTTCCACAAAAATGTAACTTTTCAATGACAGGAAAAGTGAGTGTTAAACTTCTCTGCATATTTGGTCCTTTGGGATGAGAACATTTTTACAGCCACCAGGCAGCTTCTAGGAATTCATCCTGCCGACCTGCACCTTGCGTGAAGATGTGCATGGAGCCCCACGCAGCACCATTTGCAGCGGCAAAGTCCTAGCACCTGCTTCAAGGTCCATCACTGCAAACCGGTCAGAGAAGTCGTGAGCGCCCGACGGAGCCTAGAGGGGGACATGCAGGGAGAGGGGGCCACACGCACAAGGCAGGACACGGAGTGACTCCACACATGTGAAAAGAAGTGAGTGAACACACACAGACACACACATGCTGTACCGTGGCACGCATGCAGAGAACGGCTCCAGGAGATGGGCCATGGCTGACCCGGTACGGAGATGGGGCAGCGCAGAGGGGGCAAATCATACTGGCTGGACATCATTTTATATATTTCAGGGTTTCCGTGGGTGTCTTTTCTGTGTGTGTGTGTGTGTGTGTGTGTGTGTGTGCACATGTCATGTGAATTTGACCTATTCTGGAAGAACGGGTAAGAAGGGGGTCATCTCCCAGCTACTCAGGAGGTCAAGGCAGGAGGATCGCTCAGGCCCAGGAGTTCTGGGCTGCAGTGAGCTACAATCACACCACTGCACTCAGCCTGGGCCACAGAGCGAGACCCCCACACTTAAAATAAATAAATAATAGAATACGGACATCAGGCCCTGCCTGGCCTTATCTGGTCTACAAAGGGGACTCCAGGCTGCCTCCTGCTCCGTCCTGGGGTGGCGCTCCCCGATATCCCTGCCTCCCTGACCACCCTACTCCAGGAGAAGGAAGCCCAGCCGGCCGAGTGCTGCTGCCCTTCCCCAGGGCTCAGCCTCCATGACAAACTTTAAAGTCCCACACACGTGCCCTCTGCACCCTGAGTCCCAGCTTAGAACCCTGCACCCGCACACAGGGGCAGAAACACATTAACCAGGCGCCTCCGGCCTCCCGCCCACAGCCCCTCAGGGCAGACATCCCAACCTCTCATCCCTGCCCGAGGCTTCTCCCCACCTCCTCCCAGGACAGGGAGCCAGGCAGAAACTGGCCTTTTGCTCCCACTCACCCTTCTCATGTTTTTTCCAAACCTAAACAGAAAAGCAAGCTCGAAAGTTCTCAGGTGTTCAGCTTACGTCACGGGTAAGGGCTCCATGGGGAGGAACAAAACTAGAGAAGACCTGGAGGATGAGGCGGGGGCAGACAGAGGCAGCAGATGCCTCCACGCCACAGATACAGAGGAAGAATCTAGAAGGAGGCTCCCTGCAGGCTGGGCAGCCTGGAGCCCAGCCCCTGCCACACCCCCAGGAGCTGCCCGTCCGCCCCCACTGAGATGATTCAGGGATGGGAGACTCCGATTGTTCAACCCACTCCCCGCCGGACTTCCTGGAGCAACCATGCTCTCCTATGCATCCACAAAGCCATTCCCAGCAACCCAAAAAAATGAAAGACCTAATTTTGTTCAAGCTGGGTAGGCAGCAGAGCCTAATGTCAGTTCCAGAGCACGTCTGGAAAACATCCTCATCCCCAAAGCGAGGCAGCCACTGTCTGAAAACCACCACTCCCCCTGCGAGAGGCCGCCCAGCATCCCCTGTCTGGGGCCAGCACAAGCTGCTGGCCCTGGGCTGGGAGCTCTGGGCAGCTGGTGGCCAGAGAGAAGCCTTCTCAGAGGCTGGCCTCTCCACTCAAGCCGATGTCTCCTGTGGGGGTGGAGGGGCCGCCAAGTGCCCCGAGGCCTCGGGGCAGGTACCTTAGCCTCACCCACCCCAGCCCCTCACCTGGCACGGGGTCTGTGGTTTAGACAACAGAAGGGACATGAAGCTCTGTGGAGAGCTCCCGTCGCCCCGTCCTCCACCACACATCATCCTGGGGACCTGCGTGTGATGCCCCCCACGCACAGCAGCCTGCACCCCAGGGCTATGAGCCCCTTTCAAGACTGAAGCTCCCACCGGGGCCGCCTAACCCCACAGGGAGCACAGCACAGGCCCACTGCTAACAGGAGAAAGCACCTGCACACTAGCTCCCCGACGCTGGAACAGGGCCATGGCCCTGCGCCCCACACTCCAGCTCCACTCTCCACAGGAAAAGGCTCCCAGAATCCAGCCACTCAGTGTGTGGGGGCAGGGGCCCTGCTGACTTAGAAACAAGTGGCACATTGATCCGCATTCAAACTTGCCAGCCAATCAACCACAGCCCCGCGCACAGACTCTCCCAGGTGGGACTGAGGGGGTCTCCCCTGTCCTTGGCAGGGGCGTCTCCCCCACGCACCCCCAGTCCCGTCCTCTCCACAGGCTCCAGATGCCCACATCCCCAGAACACTCAATGGGACAACTCAGAGCAGGTTACAGAGAAAGAAAAGCCACACAAGCTCACCAAGGGCACGCTATTTCAGAAGTGCCTTCTCCTCCTGGAAATGTCGACCCCAAAGCTCTCACTGGGAAACCTCTGGCCTGGCCCCGGGAAGCGACAGGCGCAGGTTTGGGGCTGAGGCCGTCCCAGCAGCTCTGTGGCCTGCCAGACCTCAGAGCACTCCCATCAGGGGCCACAAGAGCAGAGAGCTCTTCAGCCCCATGTTCTCCTGGACGAATTAAAAGCACGACCCATCCCAGCTTCAGAAAACAAAAAGTCTAACCCTCCATTTCCCAGACTCCAGACCAACCTATTTGCTAAGCAGCATCCTGAGCCACTCCCTCCTCCAGCTCTGTGGGTACAGCTTTCTCAGGCTAAAGGGGAAACAGAGGGGCTTCTCAGGGCCCACCCGCCTTGTGCTGGCCGCCTCCCTCACACCCCCTCACCCAGGAGCCATCAAGGACAGAGCCTCCTCCTGCAGGGCCCACACTCCATCACCCGCTGCTGAGGCCAGCGGTCGGCAGGGCCCTGCCACTCAGAGCCCACTAGGGAGGCAGGAACCAGAACCCACTCCGAAATCAACAGAGAAAGCTCGGCACACGGGCTGGTGAGCGTAGGGGTCGCACGCAGGGGCCAGCGGGAGCCATTTCCAGAGAGTTCCTCGGCGACAAGCTCAGATCTGCAGGCCCCTCCTCCTTCGACCTTGCATCTGTTAGGCGTGTTGAACAGGTGCCGCCCACCCTACCCAGGACGCGCTTCCTCCTCTGAGGATGTCCAGGGCCCTCCCCTCCACAAAGGCACCGTTTTGAGACTCCCAGAGCTGTCAGCCAAGTGTTGTCGGAAGGCAGAGCTGAGCTCCAGCCCTGCAAAGGGCATCCGCGTTCCGGGCACCGCCGTTTCCGCTCGACGCTCCGTGCTAAAGGCGGCCTCATGGCTGGGCGCGTGTCGGTGCTGAGGCGTCCCGGCGGGTCCTCTGCTGCCGTCCCGAGGCGGCCCGGCGGGTTCTCTGGCGCGGTCTGCGTGGAAACTAGAAGCTTGCACTGCAGCTCTTTCACAGCTTAAGGGGTTCCCTGGTAAAACCTGCCCACAGTGGTTTCTCAAGCCGAAGATCATTCCTGTCCTCCAAGCCTCAACCCTCAGGATGCTGGGAACACGCCGGAAGCCACGAACAGGAAGACAATCCCCCAAACTACCCGGCACACACAGGGCAGGCACCTTCGTTCCAAGTGAACAGCCGGCATCTCCGCGGCCGGTCCCACACGACAAACAGGCAAGCTTCCCACGCTCGAGCCCGGGCCCCGCGCTTCAACCCACGACCCCCGCAGGCTTCCCACGCTCGAGCCGGGGCCCCGCGCTTCAACCCACGACCCCCGCAGGCTTCCGACGCTCGAGCCCGGGCCCCGCACTTCAACCCACGACCTGGCCCTCAACAGCAGCGCAGGCCTCTCCGTCACGGCCCAGCCGCTGACCAATGGGACTGAGAATCGGCCGGAGGGGCAGAGCGACGCCGTCCCGGACCGGCCAGCCATCCTCCCTCCTGGCCTCCACGCTCCGTCCGGGGTGAGGCCTTCCACTCTGCTGAAGGAGCCTCACGGTCACGGCGATGACAGCTACGAGCTTGGGGAACATCGCACGCATCAGGCATCGTGTGGAGTGACTCACACGTTGAATCCCGGCGGCCATCACGTGACACAGATGCAGACAGGTTACCCCCACCACGCAGACAAGGAAACTCGGGTCTAGGAGCCCGACGCTGGCCAGTCTCAGGATGACGCCCCCGGCCAGAGCCCCAGCCCTGCCCTCCCCGAGCCTCACGCCCCACGGGTCACGCAGGGTCTTCACAGGTCACGGCCACACAGGAGCACGTCTCACACGGGCGGAAGCACAGAGGGGAGCGGGGCTGCGTCCACAGACCGCGCACACACGAGCAGTTTCCCGTCTCAGAGCTGCCTGGCATGCACACTGGAAAATAGTTAAGACAGCCCCCCGTGAGGTAACACGCTTGGGCTCTGTCTGTGATGACAAGATGTCGGACACAAGGCCAAGGTCTCCCCCGGGGGACATCGCAGGCATCACCCCACCATCCTTGCCCCCCATCCTCCCAAAACGGGCACATTGCTCCCGCCTGAGCCTTTAACAGGACACGGCCTGGCCGCTGGCCCCAGCCTCCCGTCAAACCTCAAGTGGACCTTCGGAGGGCCCAGGGCACAGGCTGCCCCTCCCCTGCCTCTGGGCAAGGCAGCTCGGCCATCCCATATCCCTTCTCCCCATATTCAAGGCCCCCACAGGTCCCCCTTGGTCCTCCAGACTTGCCCATTTTCCTAGGAGGGAACCCACTCTGTGTAGCAGATTCATCTCCCCACACTGGAAGCAGCTTCAGGCCCAGCTCCTCTACGGCTCCTCTACGGCTGCGGAACGTCATTCCTACAGGGCTGAGGCTAGCCCGGCTCCTGTGCAGCTATGGAACGTCACTCCTACAGGGCTGAGGCTAGCCTGGCTCCTCTACGGCTGTGGAATGTCATTCCTATGGGGCTGAGGCTAGCCCAGCTCCTGTGAGGCTATGGAATGTCACTCCTACAGGGCAGAGGCTAGCCCCGTGCTCTTGCGAGCAGCTGCCAGACGGACTTGCTGAGTGTGCACACAGGGGCCATGGACGTGTCAGGAGCACAGGGACTAACGGAGATCCATAGATTCATTTGTTTATTGACTAAAACAAACTGGGAAAATCACTATGTTAAGCCACTCTCCACCACTGGACTCAGCCTGTGCCGTGAGAAGTGACCCCAGTTCTGAAACACTCCAGGATTTAAGCATTTTCAAAACTGGAGACAGGATTCCCACGTGGTCAGCATCCTGGGGGCCGAGAATCCTTAGTGCCCAGCAGTGCCCATATCCAGGGCGCCGGCACCTCTGGAGAGACCGCGTCTCTGCAGAGATTGGCTTGCAGTGATTTCTAATAAAACAGATTTTCTCTGCTCTCACTGTGGAATGGTCAGGAGGAGAGTTTCTGCTTATCCTTTAGCTCCTATCCTCTCACAGACACAGAATGTGCACAGAGATTGACTCCACTGTGTAACTAAGCAGCATCATGTACAATGTCTTATCACTCCAGAGTAATTTCACTTTAAATTATTTGGTGAGGGGCAGAAATCCTGCGAGGAAGCCCGAGACCTCCCAAGGGGTCCAGGAACCAGAGAAATCCAGGTTTCCCCAGAAACCACAACTCTCCGAGGCTTCTTCACCTTTTGGGAAATTTCCATAAGATTTCCTACACAGGAGGCTGTGGGAAGAAGGGGAATGTGGCCGTTCAAGCACTCGAGTCTCTTTCTCGGCACACAATGCTCCGTCAGCAGAGACTGGACCCTGGTCCTGCCAGGGCCCCGCTCTGTGCTGGGTAAAGCCCAGGCCTGCACTCACCCCTCAAAGCAGCCTGACCAAGAAGAGAGTGTCTGAACCCCACCACTGTGCCAGGCGCCTGCCCACCCCAGCCAGCCCTTCGAGGGCTCACACCAGCCCCAGAGCTGAATGAAGGGGTGGGAAAGAGGCCCAGCGGCCTGTGCTCAGCACCACCCGAGTTCTCCAGGACTGTGAGGGGAAGCGCCTGGGCCCCGGCACCGGGGGACTTGAACATAGGCCCTCCGTCCCAGGCCCTTCCCTGCAGTGAAATGGGACACAGCACCTGGTCAAGCAGCCCAGGGCCAGAGGCCCCTAAAACCCTGGACCCCAGCTGAGGCCTGGCGCAAAAGCCAGGATGGCACAGCGAGCCCCAGGGACAGGCCCTCCCCGGTGCCAGATTTCCCATCTGGCCTATTTTAAACACAGCTTCACTCTGGCCACTCCACGTGGCTGGGCTGCTGGCAAGATCAAGCAATCTGCACCCCCAAGCTCTCATCTCAGGCTGGGACCCCCCCTTTCAGTTAAGCAGGACAACTCTGGAGCTCACTCAACCTTCCTCTGCCTCAGTTTCCCCATCCACAGGAACCAGGCTGCGTGACCCTCTGGCAGGCTGTAACTAAGCGGTAACTGAGGTCCGCACCCAGCGGGAACAGAGCGGAGCTCCCTTTCCCACACCCAGCAACCCACGCGGGGATCCTGGACGAGGAGGTTCAACTCCGTGGTGGAGCAGTGCCCGGCTCCAGTCCTATGCGCAGATGGGCTGCAGGAGAGAGGCTGGAGCCCGGGATTCAGGCTCCGAAGGGCCCCCCATGGTGATCTGGCCCAGAGTCCCCTGCGGCAGCCCCAGGGGCACATCATCTGCTAGTTCGGGCCATTTCTGCAGCTCACACTCCCTTTGGGAGGTCTGGGAGAGGTGGCCCAGCACCCCGCCCCGACCAGGCAGAGAGCAGGTCTGACGCCCTTCTAACTCAGAGAAGGCCCTGTCTCCAGAGCCTCTGGGAAAGCACCCAGGCAGTGCGAGCAGAGGCCACGGCTCCCACAGAGGAGCAACAGTGGATGAAGTCCCTCTCTAACTCAGTGCTGGACGTCCCCACCTCCCCAGAGCGGGGGCAGCAGGGGCCTGGCCTGACGCCCACCAAGCCCTGGGGCCATGGGGCAGCAGCCACCGCCCTCTCTACCCCAGACAGTGGCTACCCCGGGTCCAACAGGGATGCCCAGAGAGGTTCTCACAACTTGACCTCTCCGAAGCCAGACACTGGTGGCAATAGGCAAAAGGCAGGTGGGCCTGGGGACCTGTATTCAGCCACAGCTGGGTGCGGCAGCACAAGGAGCCCTGGCCTTCCCCCCACTCCCGGCTGCCCCAGGCCCAACTGAGCTCCGTCTCCGTTTAGCTGATGAACAAACAGACCAAATGCTGCCTAACACGCCACACGGGCCAGTCCATGCCGGGCCAGAGGACATGGGGCCATCAGGCCTCCCAAGTGGAGGTGGGGGCTGCACTCCAAGGATGGGCTGGGCCACGGGGACAGCAGCAAACACCACACCAGGGGTCTGGGAGCCGGGCGGTGAGCTGCACCAGCAGTGCTGAGCCACATCCCCTTTCACAGAGGGCACTGGGCCGGCCTGGAAGAGTGTGATGCCCCCCAGCAGTGGTGTTCACAAAGCCCTGGGTTGAGAAGCAGCTGTGCCGACGTTACCGACGGAAAACTGAGGTTTGCAGAGGTTCTGAGACCAGCCCCCAGTGTCCAACCCGAGGCAGGACCAGAAACCCTGCTCTCCAGCCCCGCCGCTTAGAAAAAATCCCCCTCCCAAAGGGGCCGCCTCCCTGAGTCCAAGCCACCCCTGCCCACAGCAAAGGAGCTGAGGAGAGCCTGGGAGCTCAGGGAGGTTCAGGGAGCTCCGTGCCCACAGCAAAGGAGCTGAGGAGAGGCCTAGTGCAGGCTGGAAGGCGGGGCTGTTCAGACGTTGAGGGTCTCGCCTGAAGCCCCCGCATGCTGCTGCTCTATCTTAGAGGGGGCCCGTCCGGACTGGGGGTGGTCAGGAAGAGACGGCTCAGACCCCACATGTGCAAGTGTCCCCATGCTTTGCCCCAGTTCTGGACTGCTGCTCTCAGGAGGCAGAGACAGGAAGGAGAGACAGAGGGGCTGACCCACGCAGGCCCAGGCAGGGGGCGGCCATGCGGAGAGCTGCTGACCCAACGGGAAACCTCAGGAACAGCCACGCTGGGCCCTTGGATCATGGACTCAAAGCAGAACCAACCCTGGGTCAGACGCAGAGCGGGGCGCTGGCCAGGCTGTCAGGGCAGGAGGGTTGTGGGGGTGGGTTCTATCCTACCCTCCTCCGGGGAGTCACCTTGGGCAGGGACCTGGCTGACCAGTACCGGCCCACCAAGAGCCCCTTTGGCCCCCAGCCAGGTGGGGGCCATCAGGGGAGGCCATTCCTGAGAACACAGAAGCTCATCTGGGGATTCGGGAATGAACCCTGGACTGGAAAAGCTAGACTCACCTCCTGGGGGCCACAGGGCTTCCAGGACCCAGGAGGTCGGAGAAGCTTCTGCTTGGGGAGTCCCAGGCTGGGTGCCCAGGGGCCCTCCACGGAGACACCCTCCCTGTAAGCGGCCTGGCATTTCCCTCTGGGATCTTCTCCCTACCCCAGAACCCTCTCATATCACAGTCCACGGAGGGTCTGCTAAGGGCACACTCAAGGCCACACGCAGGCTGGGGCACACTCGTGGGG